>NC_000001.11:212427011-212578526 GCF_000001405.40 Homo sapiens | reverse complement strand
GCCTGGATAAAGTTGAAGAAGGCATTAGTGAAGTGGAAAATGGTGCGGAGGAACACATCCAGAATACAGGCAAAGAAGAGAAAGTATTAAGAGACATGGAAGATTGATTGATCATATTGTACACTATAAATACGTATCATTTCATCTGTCAGTTAAAAAAGATTAAAGAGTTAAATGAATTTATCTACAAAGGGATAAAAATTAGTCTGACAGCAAGCAGCCTTCTCATAGATACCAACTCTAATGTAACAAAAATTCTGAAAGAAGAGAAAGGAGGAAATGACAGTGATGCAATATTTAAAGACATAATGGCTGAGAATTTTCTAGAAGTGAAGATAAATTGCAGCTGAATTGCAGAACACTATGAATAAAGAGATAATCATAAGTTAACAGGTATCACCTCACACATCAGAGTGACTATTATCCAGAAAAGATAGAAAATGTTGGTGAGGATGTGGAGAAAAGGAAACCCTTTCACACTGTTGGTGTGAATATAAATTGGAACAGCCATTATGAAAAACAGTATGGAGGTTCCTCAAAAAATTAAAAATAGAATTACCATATGATCCAGCAATCCAACTACTGAGTAATGTATTCAAAGGAAATGAAAACAGTATGTCAAAGAGATATCTGCACTTCAGGTTCATTGCAGCATTATTCAGAATAGCCAAGATATGGAATCAACCTAAGTGGCCATTAACAGATGAATGAATAGAGAAAATGTGGTATATGTACACAATGAAATATTATTCAGCTGTGAAAAAAGAAACAAATCCTGTCATTTGCCACAACATGGATGAATCTGGAGGACATTATGTTACATGACATATGCCAGGCAAGGAAAAACAAATACTACGTGATCTCACTCATATGTGGGAATTGAAAAAAGTTGATCTTACAGAAGCAGAGAGCAGAATGGTGGTTACCGAGAGCTGAGGCCGTGGTGGGGGTAGGATGGGGGTGGGGCTGGTGAGTTGAAGCGATGTTGGTCAAAGGATATAAGATTTCAGTTAGAAGGAATAAGTTTGAGATCTACTGTACCACATAGTGACTATAGTTAATAACAATATATTGTATTCTTGAAAAATGCTTAACAGAGTGAATGCTAAGTGTTTCCAGCACAAAAATGATAACTATGTGAGGTAATGTACACGTTAATTAGCTAGATTTAGTCATTCCATGTTATAATTTTACTTTAAAAATCACATTGAACACTATAAATATATATCATTTTATCTGTCAGTTAAAAAAAGGTTAAAGAGATAAATGAATTTACCTACAAAGGAATAAAAATTAGTCTGACAGCAGCCTTCTCATAGACATCAATAGATTCTAGGAGATAATAAGGGTAATATGTTCAAAGTGCAGAGGGAAAATAAATACCAGTCTCAAATTCTATACCCTGAAAAATAAAGAATTTCAGGCATCCAACGATGAAGAGAGTTTACCAACCACAGACTGTCACTTAAAGAACTACTAAAGAATATTTTATTTTGGGCCGGGCTCGGTGGCTCACGCCTGTAATCCCGGTACTTTGGGAGGCCAAGGCGGGTGGATTACGAGGTCAAGAGATGGAGACCATCCTGGCCAACGTGGTGAAACCCCGTCTCTACTAAAAATACAAAAAAAAAATCAGCCGGGTGTGATGGCACGTGCCTGTAATCCCATCTACTCGGGAGGCTGAGGTAGGAGAATCACTTGAACCCGGGAGGCGGAGGTTGCAGTGAGCCGAGATCACACCATTGCACTCCAGCCTGGGCGACAGAGCGAGACTCTGCCTCAAAAAAAAAAAAAAAAAAAAAAAAGAAAAGAAAAGAAAAGAATATTTTTTAATAACTTTTTTATCTTTAAAAACTTTAACTCTGGAATAAAAATAAGATGGGGAACAGGGTCCACATGTAATCAAAAAGTGCTGAGGTCCTTGCTGTGGTCAAAAGGACAAGTAGAGTTCTACTTAAGAAAAAAAATCAGTAAAAGCAAAATGAATAAACAAATAAAAACAGCACAATAAATAAGTAAAGTGTTCAACTTAAGAAACTAGGCAAGCACAATAGAGAAATCTAAACTAGAAATAAGAAAATAATATAAGAGAAGAATGAAAGAAATTATATTTAGGGAAGATGAATAAAACACAAAGTTAGTTTTTTGAAACAACTTACAGAAAAAGATCAACCCTGAGCTCAACCAATCAATAAAAATGAGAAAAACACAAACAGAAAGTGGCAATAAAAAGGGATAGAAATAGATACAGTGGAGATTTTAAAATACATAAAGAATACTATTAACTGCATCTGAATAAATATGGAAACTTAGGAAAAATAAATAATTTTCAAGAAAAAAATAAAATTTGGTAATTTATTCAGATAAAACCAGAACTAAGCCTTAGCTACTAAAGAAATTAAATTATTAATCAAAAGTTCTTCCATCTCCAAAGACATCAGGCCCAAACATTTACCAGATTTTTAAGAAATAGATAAGCCCTGCTTTAAACGACAAAAATTCTTTCAGAGGGTAGGAGGAAAAAGGAAGAGAATTTCCGAACTTATTTTTTGAGATATTAAAGCCAGACAGGGACAATCCAAATAAGGAAAATTATAACTTAATCTCATTTTTCATGTAGATACAAAATCTTAAAGAAAATATCTTGACCAAGTGGAATTTCATCTCAAGAATGAAAGAATAATTCAAGATTTGAAAACTTATTAAATTAACAAATTAAAAAGAAAGGCCTTTTTCCTTTATCTTTTATCTTTTTAGTATCTCAAGAAATGCAGAAAAGGCATTGACAGAATATAGCATTCATTCGTGGTTTTAAAAATCTTAGCAAACTAGGTATAGAAGGCAACTTTCCTTACCTGACAAAGGCTATACATCAAAACTCTACAAGCAAATATTATATTAATTGGTACTATTTTAGAGACATTTTCATTAAAGTCAGAAATTACAGAAGGCTATAAGTTATAAGCCTCTATTCAGCATTATACTGAAGTTCTTAACTGATGTAATATAAAACAATGGAAAAAGAGAAAGATTAGAGGCTGTTTTCGTTTGCTGAAAATGTGATTGTCTACATAAAGAAGTCAAGAACATTCACATACTCTTAGAACTAAAAACTGTCCAGCAAAGGTTGCTAGATACAAAAAACATGCAAAAATCAATAGCATTCTTAATAGTAATAACTAATTAGAAAATATAATTGAAAAAATCCCATTTATAATAGTAACAGAAATTACATGGCACCTAGAAATAAATTTGTTAAAAGGTATGAAAGACCTCAAAGAAGAAAACTATGAAAGTATTATTGAATAAAATACAAGAAGACCTAAATAAATGGAGAGAATTACTATGTTTATTGATTACAGTACTCAGTAATATAAAAATGTTAGTCATCTTGGTGGCACCTCTGGTGTCGTGGTATCATGCAAGATTCCCATAAAAATATTAGCCATCTCCATATTTATTTGTAGATTTGATGAAATTTTCATATTAAAAATCTTCAAAATGCGTGTGTGTGTGTGCACAATTCTTAAGAAGCTAATTCTAAAATTCATGTGAATGGGCCAGGAAGAGCCAAGAAAATTTGGAAGAAGAAGAAAATAGGGTAGCAGGACTTGTCTTGTTAGATATTTAGACTTATTGAAAAGATTGTGGTAGTACTGGCATAGGGAATAGAAATAGATTAATGGAACCGAACAAAAGCCCATAAATAACCTATATACACAAGGAAGCTCTGTACATGACTGAAATAGCCTCACAAAGCAATGGGAGGAACTCATGAGACTGGGACAACTGGTTATCCATATGGGAGTAAGTTAAATTAGATTCTCACTCACATCAGCCATAAAGATTAAAGACACAGATGTGAAAGGCAAAACTTTGCAACCTTGAGAAAAAACAATATATAGGAAGATACACTCATTATCATCAAGTGCAGAAATATTTTATATAAGATACAAACATACAAACAATAAAATAAGAGGGATATATTTGATTACATTAAGAGAAAAAAACTATGTGTTAAAAAAGACAACACAAACAAAATGAAAAGATATTATAGAACAGGAGAAAGCATTTGTGATGAATATACCAAAATGAGAGATATTTTAAGAAACAAAAATTATATAAGCTTGATTATTTGATCACAGTGCAGTATAACTAGCTATTAATAATAGAAATTAAAACAAAAAATCATTAAATATAAGGACAGAAAATTAAAACAGAAATTAAAGTATAAGAACATAGCAGTTAGAAGATAATTAAAATAAGAGCACAATATATCAAAAGGTATGAAATATTGTACTAAGAAAATATGAAAATATGAAAGTTGTACTAAAAGTTGAAGTTACAATCTTATTTGTTTTTATTTTCAAGGAAAGGAAAAATAAAAGCATTCAACCCAAGGGTTTATAAAAACAACAATGACAACAAAATCCCTAAGAAATCAGTAGACAGAAAAGACTAAAGGCAAAACCAAAACTAACTGAATTAGGATATAGGAAAACTTACGGAATTAATTCAAGAGCACTTTTTTTAAAAAGTAATAAAGTAGACAAATATTAGAGAAACTAAAGAAGAAAAAAAAACCCTATGAATAATAAAATTAGAAATAAAAAGGGGAGGTTCAGCACCAGATAAGGAGGAGATATTTTAAATATAAGACAATACTTTGCAAAATTATAAATTATAAATCTGAAAACCTAGATGAAATGAATAGTCTGAAAATATATACATTATCAAAATTAGAAGTATAAAACCTACATATGCCAATCACGGCTGAAGAACTTAGAAAAAAAGGAAAGATTTCCCTCCAGGAAAAAAAATGTGTCTAGGCCTAGAAAACTTTACAGGAAAAAAATCTTTCAATTCTTAAGGAATACGTAATCACTATGTTTCAGTAATTTCAAACATTGACAAATATGGAAAATCTATCTAATTTACTTAACAGAGATGACCCTGATATAAAACCCTGAAAAAGACAGCTCAAAAAAAGAAGATAATAAACCTATCTAAATTATGAACATAGAAAAGAAAATCCAAATTCAGATAACAGTATCAAAATAACCCAAGGAGGGTTTAATCTAAAATAAAAAGATTTTATGTTTTAAGATCTTTAAAATCCAATAGTATAATATATTACATCCACAGGCTAAAAAAGAAAATCCAAATAAGATTCTCAATTAATGCAGGAAATACATTAGAATTCAACAGCTGGTCCCTATTAAAAAATAATTACAAATTTAAGAACTTTTATTAACATAACAAAAAGTGTTTATTTCAAACAGTCAAAGTCATCTTTAAGGATGAAATACTAAGGCAATATTATTAAAATCAGGACCAAAACAAAGATATAGTTTGTGGCCATTTTTACTAAATTTTGACCTGAAAGTTCTAACCAATGAAATAGGGCACTTATAAAAATAAGATGCACAAACACTGGAAGGGAGAAAATAGATTTGCAATTACTTGTACATGATATAATTACATTCCCGGAAATTCAAAAGAACAATTCAACTAAGAATTATTAGAATCGATATGAGAGCCCAAGAAAACTGCTAAATATAAAAAAGACACAAAAGCCAAGTACCTTTTGTATATACAAATTGTCTGTATAAAAATTTGTATGTAGAAATTTGCTACATTGCTTTTCTATATAGAACTATTATCCAATTAGAAAATACAACTTTTAGAAAAGATAAAATGACAACAGCAAATATCAACAATGATGACATTGGAAACTTCTATGGAATGCCTTGGAAAAGCTATAATGAGAATGCGAAGGACCCGTATGAAAAAATTATAAAATGCTATTGGGAAATGCAGGTTTGAATACTAAGCTTTATGGCAACGAAGTCAGTGCTTTGCAAATTAATTTGAATGGTCAATATAATTTCAATAAAAATCTCAATAGTATTCTTTTCAGAATTTCACAAAATCATTCTAATGTTCAACCAAAATAATAATTAAGTATGAACAGCAAATAAAATGTTTTTTGTTTTGTTTGGTTTTTGAGACTGAATTTCACTCTTGTTGCTCAGGCTGTAGCTCAATGGTGCAATCTCAGCTCACTGCAACCTCCGCCTCCCGGGTTCAAGCCATCCTTCTCTGCCTCAGCCTCCTGAGTAGCTGGGATTACAGGCATGCGCCACTATGCCCAGCTAATTTTATATTTTTAGTAGAGATGGGGGTTTCTCCATCTTGGTCAGGCTGGTCTCGAACCCCCTACCTCAGGGGATCCGCCCGCCTCTGCTTCCCAAAGTGCTGAGATTACAGACGTGAACCACCACGCCCGGCAACAAAGAAAATGTTGAACATGAAAAGGAATGATGAGACTGGGGCCTTGCCAGCTCTTAAATCATTTTTAAAAGCAAGTATCGATAAGAGTATGGAACTTGCAAAAGAACAAGTGTAAAAATGTACATATCAAGACATAGAATAGATATTCTGAGACCACTGTACATATGAGAACTTTATGGTAAATAAAGCATCACAAATTAGCAGAGAATAAAAGTATTGGCGGCCGGGCGCGGTGGCTCACGCCTGTAATCCCAGCACTTTGGGAGGCCGAGCCGGGCGGATCACGAGGTCAGGAAATCGAGACCATCCTCGCTAACATGGTGAAACCCAGTCTCTACTAAAAATACGAAAAAATTAGCCGGGCCTGGTGGCGGGCTCCTGCAGTCCCAGCTACTCAGGAGGCTGAGGCAGGAGAATGGCGTGAACCCGGGAGGCGGAGCTTGCAGTGGGCCGAGATTGCACCACTGCACTCCAGCCTGGGCGACAGAGCCAGACTCCGTCTCAAAAAAAAAAAAAAAGTATTGGCTGGGCGCGGTGGTTCACGTCTGTAATCCCAGCACTTTGGGAGGCCAAGGTGGGTGGATCAACTGAGGTCAGGAGTTCAAGACCAGAAGAAAATGGCCAAAATGATGAAACCTCATCTCTACTAAAAAATACAAAAACTAGCCAGGCGTGGTGGTGGCTGTAATCCCAGCTACTCAGGAGGCTGAAGCAGGAGCATTGCTTGAACCTGGGAGGCGGAGGTTGCAGTAAGCTGAGATCGCACCACTGCACTCCAGCCTGGGCAACACAGTGAGACTCCCATCTCAAAAAATAATAATAGTAATAATAATAAAAGTATTATTTAATGCATTGTTCTGGGTTAACTGATTATTTAGAAAAAAATTAATTTAGAGATTTACCTCAAATCATAATCAAAATAACTTTTGATGGATAAAGAGATATAGTTAGATGTAAAATACATACACATTAAAATAAAATAAAGAAAAACCGGAAGCACATGAAAAAATGTTCAATAACTTTATCAAGGGAATGCAAATTTAAACTACAATAAGCTACCACTGCACACCCAACAGAATGGCTAAAATAGAAAAGTCTGACAACACCAAATGTGGACAAAAATTTGGAGCAACTGAATTCTCATGCATTGTTGGTGGGAGTGTACAATGGTATAACACCTTTGGAGAAAAGGCTGGTAGTTTCTTATAAAATGAAATATACATCTATCCTATGCCCAGCAATTCCACCCATAGGTATTTATCCAAGAAAAATGAAAGCATATGTCTATAAAAGGACATTTACAACAATGTTCATAGTTTCATTATTCATAATGGCACCAAACTGGGGACAGCCTAGGTGTCTATCAATAGAGGAATAAATAAACTGTCATATAGACATACTATAATGAAAGCTTACTTTTAGTAACAAAGACACAAATTCCTGAAGCTCACCAACACAGATGAATTTCAAAAACATTATGCTGTCAAAGAAACCTTATGCAAAAGAGTTCATGCTGTGTGACTCCATTCCATATAAAGGTCAAAAACAGACCAAACTAATGATGAAAAAACTAAAATCTGTGGTTGCCTATATGGGTAGAGTAGGAGTGAGGACCAGCTGGGAGAGAACACGAGGGAGCTTTCCGGGATGATGGTAATTTCCATTTTTTAAAAAAGTCTATAGATATGATTTATATAACACACTTATTTAAAGTGTACAATTCATTGTTTTTTCGTATCCTCATAGATATGTGCAACCATCACCTGAAAAAGTCATACCCTTTGAGTTTTATATCTTGCTAGGCATATGCATCTGTCATTTGTCAAAACTTACTGAATGATCCATTTAAGATTTGTGCATTTCCCTGTAATTACATAAAATATGGAAATTTTACCTTTAAAAGGCTGTTTTCTATTAGAAGAAAATATGAAATAATTTTAAAAGTTCTAAGTGGAAAAAGTAATTCTCCAGAAAAAAAAATTGACAGATTCGATTGCTTTAAATCTTAAAATCTCTCTGTGCCAAAAATATATAAATATAACTTACATTCAAATGTAAATGTCAAGCCAGGGAATTATTATTACTTTAAAAAAATAATAGATAGGGAGGTCTTTGTTGGTATATTTTACATATTATAAAACATTTTAAATCACTGCAGATATTAAGATTCCAACAGATGTACAGGCAAAGGCTCTGAACAGAAGATTCATAAACAGAAAATAAACCTGTTAACAAACATGTGGAAAATTTCTTTGTGTCTATAGAAATTAAAATTACATCAAGAGCAACATATATCAAAGACTATGATTCATATATTATTTGGTTTATTTATTTTTGAGAAATATGTTGATTCTTTTTGAGGAAATATATTTAAAGTAAATAAGAATTGCCATGAACATAGATTTAGCTACAATAATGTTTATTACAGTACTATTTACAATATTGATGAATCAGATATTACCCAAATGTTTAACATAGAGTATTAGTAAGGTAAACTACATTAAAAAAATTACATTAATTGGAACTCCTGTACAATCATTAAAAATTATGTTGTAGAAGAAGAAGAATTCTTATGAGGTGGAAAGAATGAAGTGGGAAGATGTTTACATTTCGAGTGAAAAAAAAAAGCCAAAAAAAAATTTACTGGTTCTATTACACTAGCTCTTTCCCCTGCGTCTCCACTGTGGACACACAGGCATTGAGCTTCTGTCTACTGTCTCCTTTCTCTTCTCCCCATTTTCCTTTGGAAGCCATTCCTGTCTTTCATCCTAGTAAGGAGGAAATAGGCTCGCATTAGAAAAGTGGAAAAATGAAAACAAGAAGGGTGTACAACTCTGTTCTGGTTAACTTTTTTATTGGGGAAAAAGTATTGCCACTATTAAAAATTCGAAGTCAGAAAGTGTATATGATGAAAAGTCTCTCTACCTCGTCCTAGGCTCTTTAATCAGTTTCTCTTATCTCTTTCCAGACATACTTTTTAGAAAGACGTTTACCAAAAGCAACAAAGAAACAAATGAAACACAAGATAATAAAAAGAAAAGAAGGCAGGGAGGAAAAAGACGGAGGGAGAGATGGGAAAAGAGGAAAGGAAGAAAGAGTAGAAGAAATAAAGAAAAGGGTGCCAGGGGAAAAATTCAAATAAGTTTATTCTGTAAGGGCTCTAAACAGCCAATGTTTATTTTAGAATATATGTTAAACATTTAGATCCTTCAGCAACCTGCTACTAACTTAAAAACCCTATTAAATTAATATTAAATTTACAAGTATTTTTAAAATAAATAAACCAGGATCAGAAGTAAGGAGCCTTTTTACTTGAGATGCCTTAAGGAATAGTCACCCACACCCAAATTAGGATGCCGGTCCAACAAACATTAATAAACCTACAGTAACGACGGAGTTGGGGAGGTGAAATTATGACTGTGTTGGACAGGCAATTTTGAGAGAAAGAGAGCAGTGGAGGTTTAGACATTAGAAATGCCCTAGCCTGTATTTACCCCCATCGGAGAATCGGCCTAGGACAGAAATACCAAATGACAGTCACCAGGAGGACACACTAAATTTGCTTTCTGGCATCATCTTCAAATATTTGGGATGGGACCACAGATCCTGACTCTCCTTAATGGCCATTTTGGATTGATTTGCCATGAATGGACTGGCTTAAATTTACTACTTGAAGTAAGCCTAACAATAATTATTAATGGGTCCAGGAGGAAGAGATCACTCAATACAAGTAGTCCACAAAAACACGCCTGAGCCCCTTAGTTCAGGGTAGGTCGATGTTTTTGGTGTGCTCTTTCTCTGGGGCTCCTTTTTCCATGATGCAAATGTGGAGCATGCAAAGGATATATACTCAAGAGACGAGGCTTAATAAAATTGTGTTGGTCATTAAAGACATTCTTAAGTAAACAGAAATATTTTTGTGTGTAATTCAGCTTGGTAGCCCCAAAATAATAACCAATTTGTTTATGAATAACTTATGTATAAGTGAATGTATAATTAGTTCATGATTTTTTTCTTAACACATTAAAAAAATTATTGACCACTCTCCATGTGAATGACACCTTGCTAGATGCAGTAACAAACCACAAGAGCAGAGCTCTGGCGTTTATAGCTTTTATCTCATTCATTAATTCTGCAAATACTTACTGAGCACCTTCTATGTGCAGGCTCTAAGTTAGAAACTGGGGCTATAATAGTCGGCAGACCCTGTCCCTACCCTACAAAAGTTCAAGGCTCTTCTTCTGACATAGGCAAAGAAAGTGTTATTAATATTCTCATTATGAGATGAGGAAATTGAGGCATTCCCATTCCAATATTCAGTTCTGGAACAGGACTGGAGCCCAGTTTTTCTCTCCTGAGGTCTAAATACTTGGCACACTGCACTCCACGGCTCTCAGAACTTTTCCCATAATAATGAGACAAAGGAGCTTTAAGAAGACATTTCCCAGTCCCCCTCCCCATGGGCTTCTGCCCCCATCTTTAAAACTGGGGGAAATGATTTTTGTCCTTGTTCCTATT
Organism: Homo sapiens; assembly: GCF_000001405.40. Classification (NCBI taxonomy): domain Eukaryota; kingdom Metazoa; phylum Chordata; class Mammalia; order Primates; family Hominidae; genus Homo; species Homo sapiens. Next base: position 212,567,714 of record NC_000001.11, on the reverse strand, counting down.
TTAGAAGCAGCAGCACAACCTTAGACTATTATTATAATTATTAACACCGGTAGCATTATAAAAAATAAATAATTTGCTAAGCTCTTTAAATCCACCTTTCCCTAGAGTTGAGTAAATGGAAAATAAGCTATAAAGACATTTTTTTCCCTATAAAAAGATCAGACATCAAGGCATTCAGATAACAATGCTAGATCTGGATTGGTCCTCAGGGAACTCTTAAGTTCACCTGCCTTTCATGACATCTGAATCCTTTGCACAGAAACAGAGACAAGAGAGAAGGGCTGTTTTTCCTGAGAGCATTTTCTTATTTCTTCACTCATTGCAGCTGTTAACAGCAGCTGGTTTCTTGAGTGTGCTGAAATGCCCACTGCCGTGTAAACACTCTCTCTAACACCCTGCATTACTCATAGTTTGAAAATCACTTTGACTTCTGAAACATAATTATGTTAATGTCAGATGAGTCAGCAGGGGGACAGCATGCTGCTCCTACGGCAGCTGCACCTCCTGCCAACCTCTGAACGTCTCAGTGCCTGGGGCTTCAAAAAAAAAAAGAAAAAAGAGAGAAAGAAAGAAAAAGAAAACCCCTTTCTGTGGGCGGGAAGAGAAATTATATTTATGGCTCAAAGAACAGCTTCAAAGAAGTGGCCAATTTCGCTTTCGCTGCAACATGAAAGGAAGAGTTAAGTAAAATCGCTACCCCTAGGTTAATCTGTTTATGTGAAGAATAAACAGGAATTTGGAGACTTTCTCTAGGGAATCTGTGACTTTCCCTCAGAGATGGCTCGAGACAGGTCACTCTGGTCACTGTTCAGTTGTGATCCATTACTCGCCGTACGAGGTTTTACTTTCCCAGGAAGTGATGCCAAGCAGTGCAGGAGGTGCATCCTCTTGGGCACCAATAGGAACCAGGAGGCTGCTCAATTTTCAGGGGTCCCCAGACCCTGGATGGGCTTCCCAGCGCGTGCTTTGCTCCAGCAGCATGACCCCCTCAGACACTTTTGTGAGCTGTTTTCAGCGTCATTTATAACCTCTCAACTGTTTCCCCTTCCTCGGCTGCTGGGAAAGGAACAGGAACTGAGCAGGACAGGGCAGGAGGTTTCTATGGCACAGCTGACCGTGACCTCCACCCCCTCTATGCCCTGGTCACAGTTCAACCTGCCAGTAACCCCAAACATCACCCCTCAGCCTGCCTTACCCCACCTGCCCTGTCCAAACTCAGGGTGTTGCTTTACATCCACATTGTGCCTCTGAAAAGGCTCTCAGCTTCATCCTCACTGATGTCTCATAATAACCCATATTTTATAAATGGGAAAATTGAGTTTCAGAGAAGGGGTGTCCTTGTCCAAGGTCGCACAGCAAATGGCAGAGCCAGACACTCAAACTTGTGCCCTTTCTGGTGTGCCAACAACAGAACCACAGATCCACACTTAAAGGACAGAAGAGGACTAGTGGGGCTGGAAGAACCCCAAGTGCACATGTTTTTACAGATGAGAGGAGTAACCAAAACTTAAAGAGAAACAATGACTTGCCCAAGGTCACACAGCTTTTACTTGGCAGAACCAGCTGCCAAACAAGATCTCCTGACCCTCACTCCAGGGCTTTTCCTCTCTAACCTCTTTACTTCCTCACTCTGGACTTATTCCAGTTTAAACACAGGAAGAACCAGCTCTCCCCATATCCAGCCCATATCCAGTTAACCTATCCATGTTACACTGCTGATACAAAGCATTCTATTCCCAAAACACAAGGGCCCCAGAACAGGCAGGAATGTCAAGGAGGAGAACACACTAGAAGGAAGGGGTTAACCAACTCCAATGGCTTCCCATTATGAGTAATCAATGCCCTACATTGACTACAGCACTGACTAGTGGTATCCCCAAACCACGGTTTCATCCTGGATGAGACCGAGATGGCATCGCTGCCTCACTGGGATGCCACAGGTCGTCCCACAGGTGTTATGTAACCTGCAGAGGGGTCAGTAAAAAACTTAATCCAACCTAGAGATTCTGCAGCACCCTAACTCCAGGACTTTTCGATCCCTATCCCTCAGATCACTTCATTGGGTACCATATGCACCGAACTGCTCACTTTCCCACCCCTCTTCTGGGTGGCACCCACCCAGCAGGGCCACAGTGGGTACTCCCCCAACTGGAGGCTTCCTGACCAAACACCTTTCTCCTGTAACATTTTTCCCACTTAGCCCCAAAGCCAGAGAAAAAGTCAAGACTCACATTTTGGGGCAAGGTGCTGAAAATCCTTAGGAAACAGCAGAGCATCCTATATAGAGGAGGATTTCTCTTCTTGTCACATCTTCCCATCTGATCCCATCCAATTTATCCTCAAGGCATGGTTGGTCAACTGAAGCTAACCCCACCTCCGCCCCACAAAGCAACCAACAGCTGTTACTATATTGAGTGGCCATATGATGTCATATCATAGGTGACTAACCCACCGAGGCTTCCCTTCGAGCCATCATCTAAATATGACAGCCTTCCATCATCCTGACCTTTTCACGGGAGAAAGCTGAGTGAGGGGCTTGACACTGATCTGGGGCTCCAGTGCATGTCTGGCCTTCTGTAGCCAGCACCTCTGGGGACACACATGAGCAACTGAGGACACACATGCCCCCATGCACAGATTCCTTTCCTAGTAGAAGACACTTTCACCTAGTAGAAGACAGCTTTCTTCCCCTGGCTGACTTTGAAAATAGTAGCCATCAGAAGAGATAAGAATCACAGTCATAGGGAGGAACGGGGAGGCCTGTATATATTTACCATGCTGTATATCCAGGTGCTGGATTAGATTCTTTACATACAGTTTTGCATTTAGTTCTCAAAACACTCTGAGGAAGGCATTACAATCTCTATAAAGTTAGAGAAACTAAGATTAGAGGGGTAAGTAACTTTCCCCAGGTTACAGGGCTTGGCTCAGATTCCAGCCCAAATCTATGTGACGCTACAGCGGAATGAACTCTACAGAAAGGTGTTACCACATCACTTGGCTTTTTTAAACATCAACTTTATTGTGTAGAACAGTTTTAGATTGACAGCAAAATTGAGTGGAAAGTACTCAATTTCCCATATACTTCCTCTTCCCACACTTGTATAGCCACCTCCTTTATCAATAGCCCCCACCAGACTGGCACGTTTGTTACAATCAATTAACCTAATTAACAAATTATTAATACCTGAAATCCATAGTTTACACTGGGGTTCACTCTTGGTGTTGTACATTCTATGGGTTCGGGCAGATTTTTAAATACAAGTATCTACCATTATCGTATCATACAGAATAGTTTCACTGGCCCAAAAACCCTCTGTGCTCCACCTGTTCATCACCCCCACTCCTCAACCCCTGGTAACCACTGATCTTTTTAGTCTCCATAGTTTTGCCTTTGCCAGAATGTCATATACAGTCATTCGTCACTTAACAGCAAGAATATGTTCTCAGAAATGTATCGTTAGGTGATTTCATTGTTGTGCCAACATCATAGAGTGTACTTACACAAACCTAGGTAGTATAGCCCACTACACACCTAGGCTGTATGGTATAGCCTATTGCTCCTAGGCTACAAACCTGTATAGCATGTTACTGTATTCAATACTGTAGGCGACTGTAACACAATGGTAAGTATTTATGTATCTAAACGTATCTAAACATAAAAAAGTTAATAGGTTGGCTGGGTGCGGTGGTTCACGCCTGTAATCCCAGCACTTTGGGAGGCTGAGGCAGGCGGATCATGAGGTCAGGAGTTCGAGACTGGCCTGGCCAACATGGTGAAACCCCATCTCTCCTAAAAATACAAAAAATAGCTTGGCGTGTTGGCAGGTGTCTGTAATCCCAGCTACTCAGGAGGCTGAGGCAGGAGAATCGTTTGAACCCAGGAGGTGGAGGTTGCAGTGAGCTGAGATTGTGCCATTGCACTCCAGCCTGGGTGACAGAGTGAGACCCTGTCTCAAAAAAAAAAAAAAAGTTAATATGTTTTACTACTATGTTATGACAACTATATCACTAGATGACAGGATTATTTGAGCTCCATTATATCTTTTTGTTTGTTTTTTTGATTTTTGTTGTTGTTTGGATACAGAGTCTCACTCTTGTCGCCGAGGCTGGAGTGCAATGGTGCGATCTCAGCTCACCGCAACCTCCGCCTCCTGGGTTCAAGCTATTCTCCTGCCTCAGCCTCCCAAGTAGCAGAGATTACAGGCATGTGCCACTGTGACCAGCTAATTTTTGTATTTTTAGTAGAGACAAGGTTTCACCATGTTGGCCAGGCTGGTCTTGAACTCCTGACCACAACTAATCTGCCTGCCTTGGCCTCCCAAAGTGCTGGGATTACAGGTGTGAGCCACAGCTCCTGGCCCATTATATCTTTTGGGACTCCTCTCATATCCGCGGTTCATTATTGACTGAAACGTCATGTGGCATATGACTGTATGTCCATGTGTTTTCTATCCAATTACCACACAGGTTTATCTTTTTTTATTCCATCCATTCATACATCCAATATTTATTGAGCACCAAATAAATGGGATGAATGTTTGTGTCTCCTCCAAAATTGTATGTTGAAGCCCTAACCCGAAGTATAATGGTATTTGGAGGTGCAGCCTTTGAGAGATCATTAGGTTTGGATTAGGTCATGAGGATGGTGCCCTCATGATGGAATTAGTGCCCTTAGAAGAAGAGGAAAAGACAGGAGAGCTCTCTCTCTCTTCACAGGCACACCACCAAGGAAAGGCCACGTGAGGACACAGCAAGAAGGCAGGTGTGCAACCCAGGGAGCCGGTCCTCACCAGACACTAATCTGCTAGCACCTTGATCTTGAATTCCCCAGGCTCCACAACTGTAAGAAATAAATATCTGTTGTTTACAACACCCAGTCTTCGGTATTTTGTTATAGCAGCCCAAATTGACTAAGACAAGCACCTACCATATGTTGATCTTAGATAACAAGTCCTTAGAGGACATTGAATCTGTTTAGGTAAGTTTCTGCACAGAGTTGCACCCATTACAGCACCTAATTCCATTAATAAATGCTTCCCCCGCCCCTCATCTTCACTATGACACTTAAAAACAATTTCTGGCCAGGCGTGGTGGCTCACACCTGTAATCCCAGCACTTTGGGAGGCCAAGGTGGGCAGATCACCTGAGGTCTGGAGTTCGAGACCAGCCTAAACAACATGGAGAAATCTCGTCTCCACTAAAAATACAACATTAGCCAGGCGTGGTGGCACACGCCTGTAATCCTAGTTACTCGGGAGGCTGAGGCATAAGAATAGCTTGAACTCGGGTGGCAGAGGTTGCGGTGAGCTGAGATCATGCCACTGCACTCCAGCCTGGGCAATAAGAGCAAAACTCCATCTCAAAAAAAAAAATTCTTTAAAAATTGAGATGAGGTCTCACTATGTTGCCCAGGCTGGTCTCAAACTCCTGAGCTCAAGCAATCCTCCTGCCTCAGCCTCCCAAAGTGCTGAGATTAAAGGCATGAGCCACTGTACCCAGCCAAGAGATACTTTTTGATTGGGGTTGGGGAGAGGTGGGTGAGGGGATAAACACAAAGATAGTGAGTGACTGAAAATATGAAGCCTGTGAGGCCATCTGCATGAATAATTATCATCAAACTATAATATAATATTTGTTATGTATAACAATATAGATATCAAATTATTGTGATTATTATAACAAACCATTATGCAGCACTTCCTGTGTTTTAGAATTAAGTGTTTTTACATAAATGGTAAATCTACTTGTTGCCTGAAAAGGCTGTACAGGCTGAAATATAAATAGAATAAAGAAAGTTTCAAATAAATTCCTGGAGGGCAGATCCAGAACAAGTTATTAAAGTGGAGTTAGAAATAATCAGGGTGCATTCCTAACCTATGAGAATGATGTCACGAAGGGCAAGTGCCACAATCCAGTCCAAGCCATGGTAGTGTCTCCATTGGAGGCACAGCTCATGGCCATTACTAAGGAGTTACTATGGAACTGGATTCCAACAGGGACCCCTGAGCTTCCTGCATGCAGGGAAACCCCTCCACCTCTGTCAGGGCCCAGGCTATGTGTGTCTCGCTGCCCCACAGCTCTCCCTCCGCAAAAGTGGAGCTTTGCTTTGTGTCACACAGTGAGTCACAGGCACAGTTGGAAACTGACCCAGGATTCCTGTTCTTTTGCTTGCCGGGGCTGTTTGCCGGAGATCACAATCCTTCCACATTAGTGGCCAGTTACATTTATGGCTCTTAATGACATTTAATGGGGCTTCTGGGATAAAGAAATGATGGAGAGTAAAGACTGGACGATAAAAAATTAAAACTGAAATGACACACAAGATCTTTATTATTGAAGGTTTAAAAATGGCGATCCACTTCACCGTGTCATTCCACTGGGAAATGATTCCTGGGTCTGAGGAGGAACAACTCCTCACCTGTCTTCAAACAAGGTGGGAGGGAGAAGCAAAGAGGAAGTGGGAATAGCTGGTGGTCATCAGAAATCGTGATCTCCAATTCTTCCCTATGATTTCATGTCTATATTTACTTCATGTCATTTGTCTTCCCTTCCATTGTATATATGACATGTTCCCATTTGCCGTGCATGTTCATTTTGCCATGCATGTTCATGCCCTTTGTCCTACCTGTGTCTTGTAACAGTAGTGTGTGTGTGATCCATGGAAAAGAAGCAGGCTGGAAGTCAAGTGACTAGAAATCTCTACCCCTAACAGGCCATGGGACCCCGGGCAGGCCACCTCACCTAGACCTTAGTTATAAAACAGGGACTTGCCTGGTTGGCCTGGAGGTAGTACACCGCTCTAAGTTTCCGTGTGTGTGTCCACCCCCAATACAGAGGAAGAAGTTCCTGTCCCCACAGAACCCCCATCCTCCCCACCCCCAACAATACCTGAGGCTGCTAGCGGTTTTCTCTCCTGGGGAGCACACACAAGGTGTTTGGTCACAGGCACTAGGAAACCTGTAAGAACAGGAAGAACAGCGGGCAATGCTTCTATCAGCATGAGGGGCAGGAGCTGGGGACACCAAGGAGAGAGCTTGCTGGTGGCTGGAGACTGGGGAGGGGAGAGGAGTCAGCTCTAAATATCTCCCAGAAGTGAGCTGGAGGCGGAAGGTGCTTCTGGTACACCTGACATGTGTAGCCTGAAGAGGTGGCTGCAATATTTAGCCAAGTACCAGTAGTGATTGTCAGATGTAACAGTGACAGTGGCTCACTCACTTTGCTCCATTTCCAGAACACGGTCACCATCATTTTGCTCAAAATTTTGAGAAGTTGTTGTTGTTTCTAATTTGTTTTTGGCACAAGCATGCTGTTCCGATAGGAAACTTTCTGTTGTTTTATGCTCGAGCGGGGACGATGAAAGAGGAGATAACCAAGTGTTTCTTCTGCACTTGGGCAGATCTGGTCGCTGGTAGGCCAGGTGAGGACTCTTTAAGTAGAAATGGCCTCTCGAGTTTCCAGAAAGGAAACACAGAGTCAAGGGTGGGTCTGGCAGGGCTGGGACGAAGGGGAGCCAAGTGGGGTGCCTAAGGTGTAAAACTGAAGGCGGCGCTCATGGTCAGGCCCTGCAAGCACAGGGTGGGCGCCTGATGCGATGCCTCCTCATACACCTTCTCATGGCTGGGCCCTGAGGCCGACCACCTCCATCTCTGGAGATCTGGTCTGGCGCCGGTTACCTGCTGAAAGGCACTGAGATTGTGTTCCAAGTGGAAAAGTTGGTTCCAGCGGACTCACATGCATAGAATAAGACACACATTTCACAGCCCACCTTCATCACCAAAACCATGGACTTCGGAGTCTGATGACCTGGGACTGACTTCCAGCTCGCCATTCATTAGCTGTGTGACCCAGGGAAACGCTTAATCGTGTGCCTCGATTTCCGTCCTCATCAGTAAAATGGGGAGGACTCAGAGAAGAGGACTAAACGACAAGGGGATGGAGGATCATGAAAACACCTGGCACAGAGCAAACCTCAGTAAATTGTGAGTTCCCTGTGAGGCCCTGATGTTGTTTACGATCACGTGTTGGCCAGGGATCCTGGCCTCTGGAAACTTCCATTGGCAACATTAGCACAGTAGGAGGGTTTGGAGATCAGTCCACGAATTTACCACCCAGCGAAATTAACTGGTTTCTAGTCACACCACTAATGACAGTTTAGACACAGTCAAAACGGTGATAAATGGACCTAGTTGGCCCAAGCTGATGGATTCATAAATAAATATTTAAACCACAGCCTTTCTCTGACAGCAGAGGCATCAGAGAGCAGAGACGCTATAAGCAAAGAGTTAAGGAGTCAAGGGCCATAGAAAACTCTTCCTGACACTTGGTTCAGGCTCAGAGGGCAACTGAGATGTCCATCTGGTTAACCAAAGAGGGCTTCCAGGAGGAGGTTCTGGGACTTCAAAGAGCCTCCAACTAGGCTCAGTTGTTCTTCCGTTTTCATCATCATCTCAACAGTCAACTCTCTTAAAGTATAACACGGTACAAGATGGGCTCTCAGTCTGCAGGTGAGTGAGTGGAGTCGTTTCCCCAGATGTTTCACGATCCCAGGCCTGGTCCCTTTAAGGCATCGAAACTCAGAACATTCTATCAGCTGCCTCGGCCTCCCCGTGGCGCGCTTACGTCACCCTTCGGGGAAGCGGCTGACGTCAGCGCGTTCTTGGCGAGTGGGGCGGGGCCGGTGACTCACCCGGACCGCGCCCCTTGCTCCCCGCCCCCGCCGGGCCGCGCGCACGTGAGCGCGCGCTGCGCGGGTTGCTAATTTTAGCTCCGGCGGCTTCCCTGGGGTCCCGTGAGGTGAAGGGGAGTGGAGGGGACGAGGCGGGCAAGGAGCGTGGCTCTCCTCGTTCCTTCCTGCCCCGCCGTGGGTTTTCCTCGAGGACCGGGCCCGGCCCGAGGGGTGGGGGCCCGCGGGCGACTCGAGGTGCTGGAACGCGGGCGCTTACCGAGGCGAGAACCTAGGGGGTCTCCCCGCGTGGAAACCCCGCCCCTCCCTCGGCCTTGGACACAGTCGGCGCTCAATAAATGAATCGAAGTTTCTTCCTGGACGGCGACCCTGGGCTTTCGGGAGAAAGCCAGAGGGGCAGGGTTCTGGAAGGTTCCCTGGCGGCTGGGGTGCGGTGCGGGCTGAAATCCGAGCAGGAGCTGGGCGCGGCCCTCGGGGACCGACTATGGGGGACGGCGCCGCGGGAGTGGGGCAAGTGCGGGCCTGGACCCTTGGGGCCACCGCGTCAGCAGTCGGCGGGGCCGTGGGAGGGACGGTGCCCGCCCGCTGTGAAGGGCGGTGGCCCTTCTAGGGTCAGGCCAAGCGCAGAGGCCTGAAGGTCACCGGGTGAGGAGCCAGCGCGGGTGCCTCAGAAGCCAAGCGCCCCGTCCCGAGCCCTGCGCGAACCAGTATGACCTTCCAGGAACCAGATGAGAGCTGCGTTTTCAAGAAGCAGTGCCAGACACCTTGGGAAATCGACACTCTCCTGTCCTTGGGTGGGGGTGGGGGTCCTGGAAAGAAGCTCCGTCAGCGTAAAGTGAACTCTTAGCTTTGACTTTGCAGAGGGATCCGTTGTGTCACAGTGACCCGCATTCCTGTCATTGGTGTGGTGTGTTTCACAGCCATTGCCTCCCTAGGTAGATTGTAAAACGGCGTTCGTAGAGCCTTTGACCTCATAATATTATGTTGGAAATTACACGATAGTAAACATAATGATAAATGGGGAATGTTAAATGGTAGTATGGGAACATTTTCTAATGGTTGCATCCTTAAAATTTTCTGTTTCAAGTTTTTAAAGGCTATAGCCTTAAAAAAAGCTGACTGTAGGAAAATGGTGGAAAGAGTCGTGGAATAAAGGTAGCTTTGGGGATTATGACGTGAATAAATGACAGAAATTAGTATGTGTCATTTTCCTTTGTTTTCCAAAAATACCACAATGTCCTTTGTAAATTGGAAGTTTTTCAGATGTGCATGTGGAAGCTGCAAGATTTTTAGGGCTTTATATCCATCTTAAAACTGGTTTTAAAGGATTGGCAATTACAATCTAATACTGGTATTTGTAGCAAATACATCCAGAGGTAGGCATACTGGTTTTTTAATATTGTTATATGGCAACAAAGGTCTCTTTGTCCTAATTTGTAGGACAAAGTTGCAACCACATTTTCCTCAATGTAATGCTTATGGGGGGAGGGTCTTAAATTGATTTGAAAGCAGGTTGTATTAGGATTCTCCAGAGAAACAGTACCAATAGGATATACAGGCATACCTCATTTTATTGTGTCTCACTTTATTGCACTTTGCAGATAATGTGTTATTTACAAATTGGTACCGTTGGTACCGTTTTTTCCAACAGCATGTGCTCACTTTATGTCTGTCAGCATTTTTTTAGCAAGAAAATATGTTTAAATGAAGGTGTGTACTTTTTTTAAAGTCATAATGCTGTTGCACACTTAAGACTACAGTGTAGTGTAAACATAACATATATGCACTGAGAAACCAACAAATTTGTGTGGATCCCTTTACTGTGATATTTACTTTACTGCAGTGGTCTTGAACCAAACCTGCAATATCTCTGAGGCATGCCTGTGTGTGCACATATATGATTTATTATAAGGAATTGACTTATGCAGTGATGGAGGCTGGCAAGTCCCAAGATCTGCAAGGTGAGTAAGCAAGCTTGAGACCTAGGAGAGCTGATGGTGTAGTTCTAGTCCAAGTCCAAAGGCAGGAAAAAGCCCATGTCACAGTTCAAAAGTAGGAAGAATTCACTCACTTTGGGGAGGGTCAAACTTTTCATTCTATTCAGGCCTTTAAATGATTGGATAAAGCCCACCTACATTATAGAAGGCACTCTGCTTTCGTCTGTCAATTTAAATGTTAGTCTCATCCAAAACACCCTTACAAAGATAACCCCAGAATAATGTTTGACCAAAATATCTGGGCACCCCATAATCCAGTCAAGTTTGACACAGAATTAACCGTCACACTGACCTATCTGATTTCTAAAGATCTTGGCCTTAAAATTGTGACTTTGGTCTCTAAGGCAATTATGAGGGTGAGTTCTTTGTAAATGGTTTCTCGGATGTATTTGCTTCTATTGAAACCTTAGTAGAGAGGACCCGTCATTTAATTACCTCTTCCTATGTTCTTGATAGTCTTTATTTTTAAAATCTAGTTCAGTTGAATATAATAATTTCTTTCACCTTTTTTAGAAGCTGAGCTACAGTTATGTTTTAGGAAGCTAGTTGATCTATCCAGTAATCTATCAAGTAATGTTGATCTGTCAAGCAAGTTAATCTATCAAGTAATGAAGCTAGCTGGTATTAAATAATTCTTTGTTTTTAACTATTAAATACAGGGCTTTGGGTATGTAATATAAGCAGCATTATGGTAATATTCTGGAAGTTTCAATTATTGCAATGATTGAGAGCATTAGAGTGTTATTTTCTGTTTGAGATATTTTTTAAGATAGTGTTGCTTCAGGAACATTGTAGTCATAATATTTTGCAGTCTAAATCCTTATTTTAAAAAATCTCATAACTTTTTATATCCTATTTAAAAGTATTGATATTGATATATTGGATTGGATTATTAGCTTTATAAATAAATACAATCACTGGACCTCTGTCAGTCCCAAAAACAAAACTTGTTTTGCACCTAAATTGTTTATTTTATTTTATTTTATTTTTAGCTGAGTAGTTAAGATTTCAGGCCTTTTTAAAAAGTCATGTGTTTAGGTATAATTTACATGCAGTAAAATTCACCCTTTTAGGTATAAAGTTCTGGAATTTTGACAAACATAGTCATGTAATCATTACCACAATCAAGACAAAACATTTCCATCACCCCAGGAAGTTCCCTTGTGCTCCTTTGCAGTCAATCCCATTCCTGAAAATAAAATTTTAAATAAAATTAATAAAACTTTCTAAAAACATGTCTGATTCATGCCACTGTCTGTCACCATCATAAATGGACTTACTTGGTCTCAATATGGAATTCACAAGTTATCACATCAGTCGAATAATTATGTTCTTGCTGATTTAGTCAAAGTGAGATCATTCAGTGCTCAATGGATGGCTGCATACTAACATTTAAGACTTGAGAGGATACAGCACAGCAGGGGACTATCATGATGACTGTTAGATAGGATTTGGTATTTAGGATAACACCAAAAAATGAAGCGTATTCCTTAACAGGAGCCCTGAGGGACCAAATTGATCCAAATCAAACAAGTCAAAGCTTAGGTAAGTAATATAGGCAGCTTAACAGTATTTGAGTCCATTTGGCCATAATCCTTATTCAAAGTGTGATGGAAATTAAGGACCACAGCTTGCTATAGAATGATCTGATTTAAATAAGTATCCAATTTTGTCATTAACTTGATAACACAAGCCTTAGTAACCTGGAGACCCACTAGAAGAACATAGATTAGAAAACCCTGGAAAAGCCAAGCTTGCCATCCACCACTCAGGATTCCTGCAAACCAACTGTTAGCTGCTGCCATGGACACAGCATGTGTTCCTTTCCCTTAAGAAATTTCCTTCATGTATTTGATGGCAGTGTCTAAAGAAACAGCAGTTTCACCTTTGTTTTTAGTTAAGCTTCCTCTAGTAACAAAATTAGGGGACAGACAGGCACAATATTCAGTTTTGTCAATACTATATACAAGCCTCCAATTTGGGCGAAAAGAAGCTCTAAGTCCACATGATGTTCCAGTAAATGTTTTTTCTTAAAACATATGCTGTCTGGGCGCAGTGGCTCATGCCTGTAATCCCAGCATTTTGGGAGGCCAAGGCGGGTGGATCACGAGGTCAGGACTTCAAGACCAGCCTGGCCGAAATGATGAAACCCCGTCTCTACTAAAAATACAAAAATTAGCCGGGCGTGATGGCACGCGCCTGTAATCCCAGCTAGTCGGGAGGCTGAGGCAGAGAATTGCTTAAACCCAGGAGGCAGAGGTTGCAGTGAGCCGAGATTGCCCCACTGTACTCCAGCCTGGGTGACTCCATCTCAGAAAAAAAAAAAAAAAGTATATATGCCATCATCCACCTTTCTCAAAGGATGACTTCTGCCCGTTTGAACCTCTGGGAGTTCTGGTTAGCCACAAAGTCCAGGATTTTTCCCCAATTTATGGATTGGTTTCAAATTCCATATGACTGATACACTACTACTGCCAAGAGTGAGCCCTCAAGAACCCCATTGGAATCATTCCTCAGTGGAAACTAGCTTATCTTCATAAGCCTAACAGTTGCTCTGGTTTTTTGCTAGAGCATAAGCCTTACCTAAAGCCATCCATAGATTATGGTTCCATGGATTTTCCTGCAAGGAAAAGGAAGTAATTAGGACATAAGGAAACAGGGGAGAAAGAAAAAAGATAGACCACAGTAAACAATTGCCAGCTGAGAATAACAAGACTTCAAATGTTCATAGTTAAAGATCTGATGAGAGTTCATTACGATGATAACACAATTGAGAAGGGAATTTGGTTATTTCTGTTGCATGCAACATTTTAAGATAGTAACCAGAATTATGACTGATAATGTTATTCCAGAACTATCAAATTTCTATGAATTTCACACAATTTCTGAAATATGTTAATAACACATTCATACAAATATAATCCAAAGAAGGTTTAGCCTTACTTCTTATTTGGCAATGCTTCCCGTATAATTTAATATACCAAGTAAGCCCAATTAGCTTAATATTTCTCTTTTCATAAGGAGAAAATCAACTTACAAAAGGCAGATTAATGGGAGAAAAAGCATACAAACTTATTAGCATGCATAGGGGAACTATCATAGAGTGATTACGCCACCATGCAATGGGACACAGATGCTTGTATATACCCTTCTTCTTAGGAGAAAGGGAGATGGGGAAGTGTGGATGATTTTAGGGTAGTAGTAAATGAATTTTGGGGAATTCAGTAGGCGTGAGGAACATACAATGGCCTGAGACAAAGTCTGTTGGGCCCGCAGAGCAGACAATGGTTTGTGACAAAAGTCTGTCCAAATTTGTTGACAAACTTCAGTTTTTCTTCCTGTGATATGAGTTCAGTTACTGAAAACTCAGGGAAGGGACCACAGGTAATTGTTTTCTTCTTTGGTGGACCCAAACTTTAGGCAGATCAGGGAACTTCAGAGAACAGATTGGCCTTGTGCTCTGGGAGAGAGTGCGGAGAGGGGTGGGGCATGCCAGAGAGACCTTGAGAGGCTTCATCTGAAGTTCAGCATGTTAAAGTGCCATACTTTAGGGTGTTGGTTTCTGAACCCCAGCACCATTGAAGGAGTTCAGGAAATGCCACCCCAAAATATGTATATTGGTATATATATTTTTTTGTATATTGATTACTTTGAGCTAAAGGCACTTGAAAAATTTCAAAATGGAGAGGTTCTCTGAGTTTCCCTCCATATGCCTAAAGACACATCCTGCAAGATGAAGTCAATTGTTACCAAACCTCTGATGATTAACTCTTATCACAGGAGAGGAGGCCAGAAGTCCACCACACCCAGACCTTGTCACAAACCATCATCTATTCATCTAAGGACTCATTCATCTTTCCCCAAAACCATTGACTCTGAAGATCTTTCTTTTCTTTACCCGCTGGTCATTTTACCCATTCCGGTAGTGGACTTGAGTCAAGGGACCCTTGCCCTTTTCTTTCTTTCTTTCTTTCTTTTGAAACTGTTTTGCTCTTGTCACCCAGGCTGGAGTGCAATGGCATGATCTTGGCTCACTGCAACCTCCGCCTCCCAGGTTCAAGGGATTCTCCTGCCTCAGCCTTCCAAACAGCTGGGATTACAGGCACCTGCCTCAGCCTTCCAAACAGCTGGGATTACAGGCACCTGCCACCATGCCTGGCTAACTTTTGTATTTTTAGTATAGACAGGGTTTCGCCATTTGGCCAGGCTGGTCTCGAACTCCTGAACTCAAGTCATCCACCTATCTCCGCCTCCCAGAGTGCTGGGATTATAGGCATGAGCCACTGGGGCCTGGTCCTTGATTGGCCCTTTTCTTGATTGGCCTGCCTGATTATTGCCCTATATGATTATTAGCTAGGCTGCTCATTGTAATCTCCGTCTTTTGGCTTTTATAATAAAATTTCTCTACACTGGGGCAAACAGAGCAGACTGAGTTTGGGGCTCCCTCTCTGCCAACCTTGGTTTGGCAGTGGCTGTCCTCCTCTACCTAAGGCCACCCTACCCACACAACTATAGCTCTCTCTGGCTTCTAAGAAGAGCTCTTTCCCCTGGCCTTTTCAGACCTGGGGGTGGAAAGGCTTCTTGCTCTAAGGATTCCCTGGCTGTTCCACCATTTATAGTCAGTTTTCCTTAACCCTAGCCTCACTTTTGTAAACAGTCACTTAATTGAATCATTTAAATCACACTTGAGGAGTTTGCTCTTGTAAGCAGGGCCTAAAGCAATCCTTTCCCGTCCATGTCTATCATTCCACAGAAAAAGTTTCATTAGGGACCATGGAGCAATAAAAAGCACTTTCATGTTTGGTTTGGTTTGATTTTGAAACGATTAGGTTGGTGCAAAAGTAATTGCCAAAGTAATTTTGCCATTGAGAGTAATGGCAAAAACCGCAATTACTTTTGCACCAACCTAATAATAAATGTCTCAATTCACTAGTTGGGAAGCTAAAAGTAGTGCTTGCTTTGGCAGCACATATAGTAAAATTGGAACGATACAGAGAAGGATGACAGGCAAATTGGAGAAAACTAAAAGTAAAAAGTATAAAATGTAGCAAATGTGAAAATAGAGAATACTTCAAGTCTTTACTGTGGCCATGTAAGTGGGGAAGAGAGAAAGGAGGCAAAGCAAATATGAAGGGGAAAGTGACACGTCCATAAAGGTAAAGAGAGAGGAAAGGGGACAACAACAACCCCGAGACAGAAGCACTGAGGCTTTGGAGTGTTAATTAAATGATTTAACTGTACTCTGCTCTCATCACTCTTTGAAATGCCAGTTCTTTATCTGCTTTTTACCCTCAAAATCTTCAGAAACTACCTTAAATAGGATACCACACCTGTCCCTGGTAGAGAAGAATTGCCTTTTAGAATGCAGATGCAGGCGGCTGGAACTGGCCTGTGGGCTCAAGGGGAATAATTACTCTCTGATTTTTCTTTTGGGTAAATGCAGGTTTTCATATATTGGATTTTCTCAGAGTGAGAAAAGAAAGAGTGACAATGGAATGAAGAAAAATGAAACAAGATGGAGAAATTGAGGACGATAATTGTTTATTGAACCAATGATGAATGAATGAGTAAATTGTGAGGGCAAAACACCAAAAAATAGTAACATCATCCTACAACCTACAATATACGCCGTTTTGTCATATGTCACTCATAATAAAAAGAGAAAAGGAACGGGTGTGGTGGCTCACACCTGTAATCCCAGCATTTTGGGAGGCTGAGGTGGGAGACTCTCTTAAGGCTAGGAGTTCAAGGCCAGCCTGGGCAAAATAGCGAGACCCTGGCTCTACAAAAAAAAAAAAAAGTCCGGGCGAGATGGCTCATGCCTGTAATCCCAGCACTTTGGGAGGCTGAGGCAGGCAGATCACTTGAGGTCAAGAGTTCAAGACCAGCCTGGGCAACATGGCAAAGCCCTGTCTCTACTAAAAATACAAAAATTAGCTGGGCATGGTGATGCATGCTTGTAATCCCAGCTACTTGGGAGGCCAAGGTGGGAGGATCCCTTGAACCTGGGAGGCAGAGGTTGCAGTGAGCCAAGATGGTGCCACTACAATCCAGCCTGGGCAAGGGAGAGAGATTTCATCTAAAAAAAAAAATTAGCTTGTATGGTGGGCATGCGACTATAGTACTAGCCACTTGGAAGGCTGAGGCAGGAGGATCATTTGAGCCCAATTCAAGCTACAGTGAGCTATGGTGGCAAAATTGCACTCCAGCCTGGGCAACAGAGTGAGACCCTCTCTGCAAAAATAAAAAGTAAAAATAAAAACAGGAAAAGATTAAGGAAGTTATACAAACAACACAGAGAAAATCCATATCTAAATGTTTGAAAAAAGTAAGTAAGAATGCAAACGTTTACTTTTATAGAGTGTTAATTGGATATATTACATAGTAATAAATCTCAGTAAACAGTGGCTCAAAGTCATATGCCTGCTCTGATTTTCTAAAGTTGCTAAGTAATTTGACCAGTACTATGGTATTAGAGCAGCTAAATTATGAACATAATGAAACAAAGAGTGCCACTTTTTCTTGCCCAATCCACACAGAAAAGAGAATTTTCTATGTATGCCCAGCCAAACTGTCAAGAGTGAGGGTAGAATAAATAAAATATTAAATAAGCCAGGTGTCAAAAAAATTGCTTCTTTTTTGCCCTTTCTCAGGAAGCTATGGAGGGGGTATTCTATCAAATGAAGGAATAAATTAAGAAAGAGGAAGGCAAGGGATGCTGGAACCAGGGGCTTCAACTAGTGCTACCAAAGAACAGAGAATAATCAAAAATACTCATCACATGGAAGATTGAAATAAAAATTTGGAGATAGGGGAAAGAAAAAAAATAGGTAAGAGAATGGAAGCTAGAGATAAGAGGAAAAGAAATGCATACTCTTAGCCTATACAGTTTCAAAAACTGGATGGCAAATCTGTCTCTCAGGTTTCCTAACATCGAAAGCCAAGGAGAAAATATGCCCAGTTGCAAGTTGCATAATATCCTTTACAGTTGATTCCCAAAAGACCTCCTCTGGATCTTATGAAAAAGATCCTTTGCTCTTAACCTCATCCCTACAGTCAACTATTGTGTTTCATTTTACTGTTTCTTGTAGCATACCTTATGGCCCCCAAAGCATTGTTAAGTAAAGGCAATTCTATAAGGACTCAATAGGGATCTCAGAGGTGGACCAAGGGCACGTGAATAGCTGGTCAGGTATTCTGAATTGGCATCCCATAGACTTCACGGGAGGCTAGGAGGAGGATGGCTGTGGCAGGTTAGGCTCTCTAGTATCCTGAACAATTTCACTCTTGCCCCAAACCAGCACCCTCTAAGCAAAACAAAGCGCTCTTAACTGCACTTATCCTCAGGGCAGTTTAGCAGCTGTCTGGTTACTGGAGCATGTTCATTTGGGTTCTCATGCCTCACCCCGCCCCACCCTATCCCACCCCAAATGGCTCACCAGAGTATACCTTCCTACTTTATTTTCTGCTTCCTTCCTTCCTTCCTTCTTCTTCCTTCCTCCCTTCCTTCCTCCCTCCCTCCCTTCCTCCCTTCCTCCCTCCCTCCCTCTCTCCCTCTCTCTCTCTCTCTCTCTCTCTCTCTCTGTCTCTCTTTCTCTCTTTCTTTCTGATGGAGTATAACTCTGTCAACCAGGCTGGAGTGCAGTGGCGTGATTGTGGCTCAATGCCACCTCCGCCTCCCGGGTTCAAGAGACTCTCCTGCCTCAGCCTCCCAAGCAGCTGGGATTATAGGTGTGCACCATCACACCTGGCTAATTTTTGTATTTTTAGTAGAGATGGGATTTCACCATGTAGGCCAGGCTGGTCTCGAGCTCCTGACCTCAAGTGATCCTCTCACCTCGGCCTCCCAAAGTGCTGTGATTACAGGTGTGAGCCACCACTCCCAGCCACCTTCCTACTTTAATTTCTAAGAGAAATTTTGGTAAATAAAATTTACTAATGTGTTACAGTTCCAATAATGTTTTACTACTTTTAGACTAGATTACCTGGCCCTCCCATTAATCCAATTCTGAACACAATCTAAAGGGAACGCTTTCTGATTATCCTTCTTCCACAGGTAACACTCAGCCTATCATGCCCTCAAGCAATCTGCCATAGCATTTATTTCCTGCAACCAGGCTTCTATTAATAAGTGACATTGCATTTAGTTAAACGCAATAAAGTTTGGACAACTAATCAGAATTTTCAGTTACTGATCGCATATCATCTCCCTAAAAAATGATGAGCATTCACTGTACAGCTTTGAAAAAGTCAACCCCTTATCTTTTCATTTGATATACTTTCCATTAATAGTTTTTGAAAAACCAAGTATAATTTTTCTGATCTATTCAGTGTTGGACATTGTTTAACCTATAGTTCACTAGTTATTAAATAAGCGTTGGAAAGAAATATATTCTTTCTTTGCCATTGAAAATATTATTGGCCAGGTGCGGTGGCTCACTCCTGTAATCCCTGCACTTTGGGAGGCCAAGGTGGGCGGATCACCTGAGCTCAGGAGTTCGAGACCAGCCTGACCAACATGGAGAAACCCCATCTCTTCTAAAAATACAAAATTAGCCAGGTGTGGTGGTGCATGCCTGTTAATACCAGCTACTGAAGAGGCTGAGGCAGGAGAATCGCTTGAACCCGGGAGGTGGAGGTTGCTTTGAGCCGAGATCGAGCCATTGCACTCCAGCCTGGGCAACAAGAGCGAAACTCCATCTCAAAAAAAAAAAAAAAGAAAAAAAGAAAAAGAAAATGTGATTATATTATTTCTTTGCCATTGAAAGTAATGGCAAAAACTGCAATTACCTCTGCATCAACTTAATACTTTTAAAATAGCTTCAGAACTAATCTCTAGGAAGATAAAATTGTGTACCATTAGCGCTTTTATGCTTAGTATGTTATGTTTAGTCACAGAAAGATAACTAAGTCTCTCTCACATCCTAAAATTAAAAACCTTAAAAGATTTCTGTTTGTACAGAATGCTGTACAAAAGATTTTTGTACAGATTTCTCTTTGCCAGGAAGCTTATTAATTATCTTTCAGCGTAACAAACTACCTGCCTGCCAATAACAGTCCACTTATATTACTGTGTTAGAATTTATATTGTCTTTAATAAATGCTTGATATCAAAGACTAGAAAATGCTATGGTAGTCCAATAGCATTCATGGTAACATTTTTATTCTGACCTGAAATAAATTACCAGGTATTAAATGAAACGAAGACTCAGGAAAAATATTTCTTCACAGTTAAATCTACATTTAGCATTGTTATAAAAATAAATGTGACCAGTTCTTTTATTTATCATAACTACTATTAATTTTTAGCTCTCTTTAAAAACAGAAAAATGTTTTTCTCAAACTTGATAAGATTTATAAACAATGATCCATGAAGTACTAACTGATGTGTTCCTGTAAATAGAACCATCATAAATTTAGAAATAATTTTTATAAGTGAGAATATATCACAAATGTTGAAGTTTTTTCTTCATAAAGTTTTTTTTTTCCAAATTTAACAGACTATTTTGACTTTGGAAAAATCTATACAATAAGAATATAATTTTCCTTTGTTTGAACCTTGTATTTTCTGCATCCAGAAGCTCTCAAATTCTGTGCTATGTAAAAAATACCACTTAATAGAGAAACTAGTTAACTTGTATGTAAATCTATAGCCATAGGATATTAATAGTGAAAAACGGACTATTGCCTTCCACAATTCCATCAATATTCAAAAGTATATACTAACGCTTCAATTTAACTGACTAAAGACTCTTGCATATATTTATGTCATCCAATTATGGGGAGAACCAATATTACTCCTTGTTTGACTGACTTAGTTTCTCAGTATTAAATTCATTTTATGGATGGAATAGAAACAAAATATTCTTAAACTTTTTAGAAACTGGAAATTCGAAGAATTGCTAAGTACAATGTTTAAAAAGGTTTTGCTTTCTAAAAATCAACTGTCCGGTTAGCTATACTTTTAGCATATGACACCAAATCTTCTTGTTGCCCGACTTACTTATATCTTCCTCTAGACTGTGAGCTCCCTGAGTGGGAAATTATGTCTTTTCATATTTAAATACTTAGTGCTTAAGAAGCAGAAAGCACTCAGTAAATTCTTGTTGAGTGAATTTGACTAGCAAATCACTACAAAAGGTGAATTATAATCAGCAGTATTTTGAAATGAATCAAATAAGGCTCTCTACTCTTATCCTTTCTCCTACAATCTCTATTATATAACCAATAGGCATGGTCTGTTTTTGTCTATATGGTGTGTGTGTGTGTGTGTGTGTGTGTGTGTGTGTGTGTGTGTGTGATGTGAATGTTTCAATGCACCCTTATAGTCTTGGAGCAGAAAGATTTAAGGGACAGCCATGATTTTCACCAAAAGAAGTGTTTTCACATAATTTAGATGTCCATTAAACACTTTCCCTGGTAACGATACATGATTCCGATTCCTTTGTGTTAGATGTGCAATTTCATACAATTAGAAGAGAGAAAAGATGAACATACTGTCATTTTTTTAAAGAGAGTGTTGCCATGAGATGGAGTAAACATCAGATGACTGGAAATAAATGCTCTATTGGGGGGAGGTTCAGTAGTACAACCCAGGCACTGACTGGGGAGATCTGGATTCTAGTCCCACGCTCCTCTGACTTGCTGTGAGAGCTAGACTAGCCTCTGGGTGCCTGTTTTTTTCTTCATCTGTAAAATGAAGATGCTTCATGACCTTTAAGATTCTTTCTAATTCTATGCTTTGAATAACTTCTAAATAACAGAATACTTGAATTGCCAAAATTTAGGCCTTAAGCCTTTTTTTTTCTTTGCTCTATTGTGCCTTCAGTAAATCATTATGATGCAAACGTGAGTTTTTCAGAATTTCCATTTTTCAGATGGGAGTCTGAGCCGCCTGACTTTGAGTCATGTGATAGATTGCCTAACCTCATCTTAGGCAGCTAGCTCCTTTGGAGGAGGAAAACAAGCTAGACTCCTCAGGACAAAAGAGCTTATTCTACATCACTGTGATGCTGGCTCAATCTGTTATTCACTAATATTTTTAGATCAAATTGAGTAATTTCACTGTTCAGATTTTCCTCCTGCCTGTCTTATATGCAAACAAACCAATATTTTTTTGGAACAAATGCAATGTAAAAATCACTGTTCATGCTTCCTGGTATTCCAAACTCCTTCCATAATTCCTTTTACCCTCCCCAAGTAGCTCCCAACTTTTGTTCCCTTTCCAATATTAGAGCATTCTCCTGGATTCTTGATGTTTACCTACCTCTTTTCTACCCTGAACGCTGGATCTCCACTCCTTCCATCAGCATTTTAAAGGCTTTGAGATACAGACCCCCTAGATAAAACACAAGGATATCAAACATTGCAAAATGACATAGCTACTTTTAAAACTTTCTTCTCTAAAGGAAAATTAAAAACTTGTCTTCTTTGAGCAGTATATACTACCTGATTTATAACTATCATCTAACACCATTACATATCATACTTTAATTTTTAAGATAAACAATAAATACAAGTCAGAATTATATTAGAAACAAAAAGGATTAAAGGAGTACCAAATTGAAAGCAAAGATTTGGTCTTGGTACAGGCTCTGCCACTTGAACCAAGCAATCTCTAAGAGCCATCCCCTCAGAAAGTCTGTGATTCTGTGACTTACTACATCTGTGTCTACCCATGGATGATAGAATCCTCCAGAATCACAATACAAATCCAGGTGACTCTTCTGTTAAAGAAAGGGAGGAAGGAAACTAATGTTTTTGAGAGCAGAATGCACCCCATATCTGGTGTTGATCATGATACAGAATTATCTCATTTATGTGTTTGTTTTGTCTTGTTTTTTGTGATGTCCCACAAGCTGCAGTGCAGTGGCACGATCTTGGCTCACTGCAACCCCTGCCTCCTGGATTCAAGCGATTCTCCTGCCTCAGCCTCCCATGTAGCTGGAATTACAGGTACATGCCACCACGCCCGGCTAATTTTTGTATTTTTAGTGGAGGTGGGGTTTCGCCGTGTTGATCAGGCTGGTCTTGAACGCCTGACCTCAAGTGATCTGCCCTCCTTGGTCTCCCAAAGTGCTGGGATTACAGGTGTGAGCCACTGCACCCGGCCTCATTAGTTTTTTAAGAACTTTAGCAGATAAGCCTGTTTCCTGCGTGATGTCATAGAAATATCTTCAAGATGAATTGTTTTTACAAATGGTAAGATACATATGAGCATCCATGGCATAATCTCATTAATGAAAAAAAAAGTAGGTCTTGCATATGCCTAGAAAATTCTGGAAAGCTACACAAGAAACTATTAATAGTAGTTAACTCTGATAAATATTATTGGGGGTTAGGAATAAAGAGAAGATTTTTACTTTTTCATTTTATATTCTTTTGCACTTTTTAGAAAAACCCAGGGCAGGCACTAACCTTGTTCTTATATCTGCTTTAGGAGAAAAGAAACAAGAGGAGGCTTTGAAGATCTAAGAAAATCAGTATTTGTAGTGTAACTTATTGTATTGTTTTCTTCATCTGTGATGAGAATGATATTAAAGTATAAGAAAAGACATTTGCCTAACTATAGATAAACTCATAACGTTTTCTTTTACAGGAATAAGTGGGGAGATACTAAGTTGTCTTTGCTCTGCCTTTGGAATGTAACTTTCAATTTTTTGGTTAATGTAGCTCAGACATAAATGAAAGTGGGTGAAATAAAGACTTGTGTGTGCAATGTGATGCAATTACAATCATACTTCACTTAATGACAGGGTTATGTTCTGAGAAATGCATTATTAGACAACTTTGTCATGAAGTATCCTAGAGTGTGTTTACACAAACCTAGATGGTATAGCTTACTACACACCTAGGCTATGTGGTATAGCTTATTGCTTCTAGTCTACAAACCTGCATGGCATGTTACTGTATTTCTTCTGAAAAGGAGTTTAGATAACCTCTAAACAAGGTATCTGATTCAGATATAATCACAATTGTGAGGTGACATTATTACAGAATTTTACCGTTCTCTGGAAAATAGCTGATATGCACGTATACAGGGAACTTGGAAGTATTAGTTGCCAAGATCTAACTAGGGCAAGGCTGGAGTTACTGATGGTCTTCCTCACCACAGATAACTTTCTTTTAGTAATGAGATTTTCCAAGTTTTTACAAGAAAGAGGGAAAATGTGTTTACACTGAGAACTATAATGTATGAAAAGTTTAGCAGTAGGTTATCTAATCCTTTCCACTCATTATACTAGTAAGAAAACAGACTCAGAGAAGACAGATAACTTGCTAGAGATCACACAGCTAGTTACTAGGAAAACCAGGACTTGGTCTAGGTCTCTGGCCCTGAATCCAGTATTTGTTTCCATGTGCTCTGCTGCCATGGCCACTTTATTGAACCATTTAGAACCTGAATTCCTGATCAGGACCAAAACCACACTGGGTAGAGGAACATCCTTACTTCCAAACAAAACAAAACCTAACAAAATATCCAATGTTGTGATGATGATAATTTCTGTTTATGAGTTCTATTATTCTATGTACTGAAATAGTACAAATAGTCCAGAATTTAACTAGAACGCCATCAGTGGAAGCCACCAATTTTTCTCTCTCTCCCTTCCTCTGCATCTCAGCAAGATAATATTCTAACCCCTCCATCCCTCTTCCTTCTATCATCTTTTGTTCTTTCTTTATAAAAACAAAAAACCTGTAAGCACTTTATAATCCTTCTCAGTAAAATATTCTAATGCACTACAGCACTTAAATCAGAAAATTCTTTGTGAAGTCTAACCTAGAGGACTCCAACGGAAACCCCTTTCAGATAAGTATATATGTATCAAAAGAACACAGGAAAACTAGAAAACTTCCAGTGAACAAAAAAGGGATGTCAACCATAGAAGGTAACTTCACTTGGCTTCGTGCAGACTATATAAGGAACCGAAACACAAAGGAAAAGGCACAAAAACTGGAACTTAGGTCAAATCCACCAAGAAGAGAAATGAAGCAGGGCAGAACAGAAGGCTCCGTGTCAGAGAAGCAGAAAACCCAAAATGGGAAATGAAAGTCAAATGACAAAAGACAAAGGGAAATTAAACATTTTTTACATAAGGAACTAGAGGAAGAAAAAGGAAAATATTGCCTTATTAGGTGTTGGAGGAGGACGTACATACTCACCAGCCTGGTCAACACAGATTCAGAGGCAGTCACACTGCTCTACGGGAACAGGTGGGCTGCCTGTCTCCCAAGAGGGCTTCCAGCCTGCCATTTGTTACTCTTGGGGAATTATTTCAAAAAGCCCCAGTTTCCTGAACTTTAAGTTGAAGGTAGTAATGGTGCCTTCCTGCAAGGTTACTCTAAAGGGCCAATCATACGTTGTTTATAAAGCACTTAGCGCGATGCCTGGCACATAATAAATGCAGGGTAAATAAAAACTGTTATTAATAGCATTATAAACTTGTTAATCCACATTTTTAGTTTTCCTTTATGTTATTATTTATTTATTTTTATTTTTACTTTTCTTTTTTTTTTTTTTTTTTGAGACAGGGCCTCTCTGTGTCGAACAGGCTGGAGTGCAGTAGCACGATCATGGCTCGCTGCAACCTCCAATTCCCCAGCTCAAGTGATCCAGCCTTCCAGGTAGCTGGGACTACAGATGCGTGCCACCATACCAGGGTAATTTTTATATTTTTTGTAGAGACAGGGTTTCACTATGTTGCTTATGCTGGTCTCGAACTTATGAGCTCAAGCAGTCCTCCCGCCTCAGCCTCACAGGTGTAAGCCACTGGGCCCAGCCTTCCTTATGTTATTATTTATTATAGACATGATATGGTATAAAGACACAGGTAACTGCCTTCCCAGTATATAAGGCCATCGTTTCTAATAATCTGTTTTAATCAACACCCTGATGATGGACCATTAGTGACAAATTTTACTATCTCAAATTCATAAACAGGGAACAGAGGTGGCTTAAGCCATTTCTCAATGAGATACAGCAAAGCAGTGGCTTAGCTGAATACAAGACCTGCATCTCAGAGTCCTGTACTGTGGCCAGGAAGTCCTGCTAAGACAAAAATAGCCATTTTGTTATTTTACATTCTTATTTACCATCTCTACCATGTAAGCAGTAATTTAGACTGATTTAATTATAGAAAATCTACATTTGCCCTATGGCATTAAATATTTTTTAAAAGGAATGTCTAAAGCACCACTTATGTTTGCAAACTAAGGGCAGCGAAAGTTGAAGGGACAGAAGCATGCAATTTTAAAAATGTTTTCGTATTATCACAAAACAAATCACTCACAAGTGATATACTCATTAGAAAAACTTCCTTTTATATTTATCATTCTAAAAAACTGTATATTTTATTTGGCCTTATTTTCTGCCCCTCTGCAATACCAATATAAATACCACTGATATTAATATAAATAGCCGGCAGGGCGCAGGTGGCTCACACCTGTAATCCCAGCATTTTGGGAGGCCGAGGTGGGCAGATCATCTGAGGTCAGGAGTTTGAGACCAGCCTGGCCAACATGGCGAAACCCCGTTTCTACTAAAAATACAAAAATTAGCCAGGCATGGTAGCACATGCCTGTAATCCCAGCTACTTGGGAGGCTTAGGCAGGAGAATCTCTTGAACCCAGGAAGGGGAGGTTGCAGTGAGCAGAGCTTGCACCACTGCACTCCAGCCTGGCGACAAAGCGAGACTCCATCTCAAAAAAAAAAAAATTAATAAAATAAAATAAATAATAGCCATTATTTATTCCTGCTTCCTTATCATGCCCCTTCTCTCTCTTTCAGGTCTCCAGCTTTCAGTTGTAAGATACTACATCGAAAAAGGGTGTAAATTGGTAAAGAGAGTACAGAGTAAGCATTTAACCATCCCATATACTTCAGTAGGGACCAGAAAGGCCAGAAAACTAGAGACTGAAACCATCCAGATTAGGGGTTTCCAGATTCAGAGTGCTGGGCTCAGTAAAATTTCAAAAAATTGGCTGGGGTGGGATTGGCATAGAGATAATTAGAAAAACTTCCTTCCATGTTTTACTCTTACTTTTGCCACGTAAGGATATTTAAACCAACAATTGCTGCCATATACTGACAACATTCTTTATTAAAAGACAGAGTGTGTCAACTTTAAGAAAAACCTGGTAGGCGAGACAAAAATATCAGAGTCAAGGCAGTTCACAAGAAGTGGCCAGTGATCACTTTAAACCATCTCACATGTATGCATGAGTATTTACTCATTATTTCAAAAAATAGTTTCTTCTCATTTTGCTGGAGACCACTAAAAATGGACTGGCCTAGTTCTGTGGACTGCTGTTTGGGAGCTGCTCTACAGACTGCTAACTAATCCATCTGGGGGCTAGGTAAATGTGAAATCCAAAATCAAGCAGATGACCTTCATTGAGGGGTGACTCTAATTCCAGGCCCTGTGCCCAGTGCTTTGCTTGCCTGAGGAGGGATGAGCTCCCCGTCGTGTGCAAGTAGAGGAGCCTACTCCTGCCTTTGTCTGATGCTGATCACCACGACAACCACCACGACCCAGGAAAGCTCACTGGTGAGTTGCTCTTTTCAAAAACATGACCACTATGTGAAATTTTAAAACTCCAATATAACAAAGCCATAAGCAGCCTTTTGGAGGCTGCCGCAGCAGAATCTAACCACACTGGGATTTGATGTTCTTCTTTCACAAAGGGACAGAAAGTTACCAGGTTTTTGGGCACAAGCTTCTGTGCCGTGTGACAAAGCACTCCTTTGACCATTGTGCTGGGCCTGGTCTGAGACCGCAACAACCAACCAGTTAGGACAAACCAAAAATAGCCCCATCTTCTAAATCAAGACAGGCGGAGAATGACCACCCTGAGTCACCCAAGTTCAATTGTTACACATTTTATTTTTGGATAGCTTTAGTGGGCACCAAAAGTGTTTCATTTGCTGGTTCTCTCCAATAAAAGTACAAAGAAAGGAACTAAGTCATGTGGTTCTGTTTGACTTACCATGAAGGCTGCAACTAATATGGATGATGTGATTCCTCAGCTTTGGAAAGCCCACGCTAATTGCCTGGGATGGTATGTCTCTCTAACATACTAAACTGCCAAAAAGATCTTGGCTCACAATCTGTTGCATAAGCAATTTTGCCCCCAGGAACGCATGCATGTTATCATTTCAAGGTCTTTGTTGCCATTCAAAGTGACAAAACACAAGTATATGAGAGGTGGGTCTGGAATAGAATGGAATAAAGAGCTTATTTGCCTTATTTGGGCACTTTTCCTTTCTATTTAAGATATTCAGTTAATTTTATGTGTTTATAATTTGCACTGCAAATCTTCTAAATGTATTTCATCTTATCAAATGTATTACTATCATCCTTAAAAATGATTTTCATGCATACATGTAATCCAAATTATTCACCATCATCTGGTCTTCCTACCACTCCAACCTTATATTTTATTGTTCTCCTTCCATTCACTGCTCCTCATCATTCTCTTTGCTCTTGTAAAATGCCAAGATCATTTTCACCTTAGTGTCTTTGCATTTGCTATTTCCTCTGCCTGCAATGCCTCTGTGATCTTTACATAGCTGGTTTCTTCTTGTCACTTAGGTCTCTGTTCAAATATCATTCCTTGGAGAAGCCTTCTCTGACCACTTTCACTGAAATATCCCATCTCCATAAGTCACTCTCTAACATATCATTTCATTTTGTTATCTTTATAGCATTTATGAATATCTTTTTTCTTTTTTTTGAGATGGAATTGCGTTCTTGTTGCCCAGGCTGGAGTGCAGTGGCACAATCTTGGCTCCCTGCAACCTCCGCCTCCTGGGTTCAAGCCATTCTCCTGCCTCAGCCTCCCGAGTAGCTGGGATTACAGGGGCCTGCCACCACACCAGACTAATTTTTGAGATGGGGTTTCACCATGTTGGCCAGTCTGGTCTCGAACTCCTGACCTCAGGTGATCCTCCTGCCTTGGCTTCCCAAAGTGCTAGGATTACAGGTGTGAGCCACCACGCCCGGTCGTGAATATCTATTTTTAAAAATCTTGTTCACTTATTTGTCAGCTTGTTATTTGTTTGCCCTCTCTAGACAGAAAGCTCCACAAGAATAGGGACTTTGTCTTGTGTATTCTCTTTTTTTTTTTTTTTTTTTTTTTTTTTGAGATGAAGTCTTGCTCTGTAGCCCAGGCTGGAGTGCAGTGGCACAATCTCGGCTCACTGTAACCTCCGCCTCCCAGGTCACAGTTCAAGTAAGTTTCCTGCCTCAGCCTCCAGAGTAGCTGGGATTACAGGCACATGCCACCATCCCCAGCTAATTTTTGTATTTTTAGTAGAGACGGGGTTTCATCATGTTGGCCAGGCTGGTCCTGAACTCCTGACCTCATGATCCACTCACCTCAGCCTCCCAAAGTGCTGGGATTACAGGCATGAGCCACCATGGCTGGCATCTTATTCTTTTTTTTTTTTTTTTTTTTTTTGAGACAGAGTCTCTGCAACCTCCACCTCCCGAGTTCAAGCGATTCTCCTACCTCAGCTTCCCGAGTAGCTGGGACTACAGGTGCCTGCCACCACACCTGGCTAATTTTTTGTATTTTTAGTAGAGATGGGGTTTCACTGTGTTAGCCAGGGTGGTCTCAATCTCCTGACCTCGTGATCTGCCCACCTCCGCCTCCCAAAGTGCTGGGATTACAGGTGTGAGCCACTGCACCCGGCCGTCTTGTTTATTCTTATAGCTCAATGCTGGAATAGTGTTTGGCACATAGCAATACTAAATAAATATTTGTCAAATGAATGAATAGATGATGAATGAAAGGATAGACGAATTCATGAGCATTTTCATATTTTGTCACCTTTTCCCAGAGATTTTGTGTCTAAATGGCACAAAGACTAATGTAGGTTCACCAATTCTCTTGATAATTTTATCAGTAAAGATAGGCCAAATGACTCATGATTTATGTTATCTGGCTTGGCACTCTATAACTGATCCTATCACCAAATAGTAGCCAAATCTCCCCTTCACTTAAGTTATGTAGCTCAGTTTGACAGAGCAATCTAATAAGTGTACAAACAATGTTTATTATAAAAAGAAATGATTAGATGCAATTTCATGATTTAGAATAGACAAATGTTTTTCAAAAGTATTTATTTCAAACCAACAGCTAACATAATAACTGCTAGTAGGAAAATTAAAAAAAAAAAAACCACTAAGGCAAAAGGCTTATTCTTCCCATTTTTAAAATATTGATCTGGAAGTTCTAACCAATGCAATAAGATAAGAAAAAGAAAGAAATGATATAACTATTTTAAAGTACAGACAAAATTATCTTTATAGATAATGATAATCTATCAGGAAAACTCAAGATAACTTTTTTAATGGACCGAGAATGGAATTTAACAAGGTAGAGTTAAAAAGTGATAGCTTGTAGAACAGCAATGGTTGCTTAGGAAACTACAAAGGCCAAAACACAGCTAAAGAATTTTATGGATCCTGGGCACAGTGGCTCATGCCTGTAATCCCAACACTTTGGGAGGCCGAGGCAGGTGGATCACTTGAGGTCAGGAGTTCGAGACCAGTCTGGTCAATATGGTGAAACCCTGTCTCTACTAAAAATACAAAAATTAGCCGAGTGTGGTGGCATGTGCCTGTAATCCCAGCTACTCGGGAGGCTGAGGCAGGAGAACCTCCTGAACCTGGGAGGCAGAGATTACAGTGAGCCGAGATTGTACCACTGCACTCCAGCCTGGGCAGCACAGCAAGACTCCATTTCAAAAAAAAAAAAAAAGAAATGTATGGATGTTAATATACCAGCTATATACCAGCTATAGGTTTTTCTTTTCCTAAGATCCAAACATGGCAATATCTTAAACTGAGGAATATAGCCATGGATTTTGATTTAATATATATTTTCCTGTGAAAAAGCATATCTTATCACTTGTTCATTTGGCTAATATTTATATTCCTCCTCTATTTACAGTTCTATGCTAAGAACTATGGAGAAAACAAAGTGAAAAGAAGAAAACATTTCCTCTGCTTTTAAAGATTTTATAATCCAGTCCAGGCATGGTGGCTCATGCCTGTAAACCCAACACTCTGGGAGGCCGAGGCGGGCAGCAGATCGCTTGAGCTCATGAGTTTGAGACCAGCTTGGGCAACATGGCTAAATCCCATCTCTACTAAAAATACAAAAATTAGCCTGGCCTGGGGGCAGACACCTGTAATCCCAGTTACTTGCCAGGCTGAGGCAGGAGAATTGCTTAAGCCCAGGAAGTGGAGGTTGCAGTCAGCCAAGATCGCACCACTGCATTCCATCCTGGTGAACAGAGCGAGACTCAACCTCAAAAAAAAAAAAAATTTATAATCGTGTTGGAAAGAGATATTGTAATGTATACATGCAAATGACTAGAAAAACATTTCTGACAACAATTATTTGTCAGCAATAAGCATTTACTTATTACTGACAAAAATAAGAAAATACCTATTAAGCATCTGTAATGAGAAGGTTCCTTTGCAAGTTGTAAGCAGATTGGTGAGTGGACTTACTATAAATATAAATAGAACCCAGTCCTTGCCATTGGTGCAAGATATTAGGGGAAATAAGGCACAAATCTTTAAGTTATAAAGCCATTAAGCTGAACTTTGAAAGAGGAAAGAAGGCTTTCAATGAACAGACCACATGGGATTCCAAGTGGAAAGCATAACTTTGGGTAAAAAAGCATGGGACGTGTTTGTGAACACAGAGTAATTCTGTTTGGCTGGAAGGCAGGTAAACATGAAAGGGGATTAGGAGGTAAGACCAGAAAGAAAGATGGGAGGTCAGGCCTCAGATGGGGTCTTGAATTTTTTTTTTTTTTTTTGAGACGGAGTCTCCCTCTGTTGCCACTTGCCAGGCTAGAATGCAGTGGCGTGATCTTGACTTACTGCAACCACCTCCTGGATTCAAGCAATTCTCCTGCCTCAGCCTCCCGAGTAGCTGGGACTATAGCTGGGACTACAGGTGCAACACCATGCCCAGCTAATTTTTGTATTTTTAGTAGAGACGGGGTTTCACCATGTTGGCCAGGATGGTCTCAATCTCTTGACCTCGTGATCCGCCCATCCCGGCCTCCCAAAGTGCTGGGATTACAGGCATGAGCCACTGAGCCTGGCCTTGAATTCTTTACTGCAACTAATATAAGAAAGCAGCCTTACAGGAATATTCGTCTGATAGCAGCATTTGGGCTGAGTTGAAACGTGGAGAGACCGTTAGGAGGGGCTGTTAGGAAGCTTGAAGAACAGGGAATAGGGACCTGCCCTGTGCTGGAGAAGCCTTGAGAGGCACTGCAGAGGTGGGCTTGACACTTTGGCACCCAGACAGTGCTTGGCCTTTAGTAGATGGTCAATAAATATTCATCAAGTGAATGAATAATTTTCCTGTCGTCCCTTTAAAATAAGTTCTCAGAGCAG
The DNA here is from genome assembly GCF_000001405.40 of Homo sapiens. Taxonomy (NCBI): domain Eukaryota; kingdom Metazoa; phylum Chordata; class Mammalia; order Primates; family Hominidae; genus Homo; species Homo sapiens. The sequence continues at coordinate 212,535,606 of NC_000001.11, read as the reverse complement.
CATCTAGCTTTCTTTCAAGCACTATTTACATGTGATCATCAACTTTTTTGTGAGATTGTTTGCTGAATGTCTTTTTCTCCCGTTAGACCATAAGCTCACCAGGGGAAAGACCTTATCTCTCTCTCTCTCTCTCTCTCTCTCTCTCTCTCTCTCTCCTCTCTTTCTCTCACTCTCACTCTTGCTCTTTTTCTCTCTCTGCTTTAATTTTTCCACACTACATCCCCTGAGTCAGGCATATAGTAGGCAATCAGTGAATGCATGTTGACTCTGTAATTAGTCAACTCATTAGATATGGGCTTAAGAGAGATGGAGGAGTGAAAGATGGTTCCGTTTTAAATCTTATTTCAATGTTAGTGGCTTATGTTCTTTTACAAATATTAATAGGGAAGTTAGGAGGAGGAGGTGGTTGGAGGGACAAGATTATTTGTTCTCATTTTAACCCCTGCATTTGAAAGACTAGGAGAATCATCTAGATGAAGCCATCCAGTAGACAATTGAAAATATGAGCCTCAGCAACATGGTAGAACTCCATGTCTACAAAAAACAAAACACAAAACAAAAATTAGCTTGGCATGGTTGTATATACCTATAGTCCCAGATACTTGGGAGGTGAGGTAGGAGGGTCACTTTAGCCTGGGAAGTCGAGCTGCAATGAGCCATATTGTGCCACTGCACTCCAGCCTGGGCAATAGAGCAAGACCCTGTCTCTAAAAGAAAAGAAAATATGGGCTGGGCATGGTGGCTTACGCCTGTAATCCTAGCACTTTGGGAGGCAGAAATGGGTGGATCATCTGAGGTCAGGAGTTCGAGACCAGACTGGCCAACATGGTAAAACCCTGTCTCTACTAAAAATACAAAAATTAGCTGGGTATGGTGGTGCATGCCTATAACCCCAGCTACTCGGGAGGCTGAGGCAGGAGAATGGCTTGAACCCAGGAGGTGGAGGTTGTGGTAAGCTGAGATCATGCCATTGCACTCCAACCTGAGTGACAAGAGTGAGACCCTGTCTCAAAAAAAGAAAAGAAAATATGAAACTAGAACTCTGTAGATAATTTAGTCTAGGGATAAAGATCTGGACTAGGATAACATCTGCATGGAGGTGTTAATTGAAATAGTAGGGGTACTTGAGATCATCAGAAAGGAAATACAGAAAATGAAGAAAAACAGAATTGAGGAGAAATCTTGGGACACACCTGTGTTTTAAGTAAGGCACAGATGAGCCAACAAGGAGAGAGAAGTAAGTTAGTGAGAGGTGAGAGGCAAACTGTTTTCCAGTCACTCCAAAGGTAAGGGAAGAAAATTTTCAAGGCAGTCGTGAACAGAACAGCTGCATCAAACTCATTAGGAAGATTAGCAAGGATAAAATTCAGGAAAAGCTATTACATAGCAGTGAGCAATTTCAGAGTTTGCATAAGTGTGCAGGGAGCATGGGAAGTGAAATCAGATTTAAATGGACAAGGTATGAGATAAAGGCAGTAGATACAGATTACTCTCTCATGAAATTTGGTGGGAAGGGGTGGGAGGAGAGAGAAAAGAGTTGTCTGACTTGTTGTTTTTGTAGACACCCATTATTAGGTAAATAGTTTGCCCAAAGTATTGAAACTACACACCAGTCCAGGTTAGGATCTGTCTGTCACATAACTTCCTATGACATGTTCTGTTCTTGAGGGCCAGTCAACAAACAGTTGCTAATGACCTCCCAAAGCAGCAGCGGAAACTGGGAGCTGTGGAAGGAGATGCAGAGGTGCAGACATAAAAGGTGACGAGACAGTAGGTGGGAAAAGACCACATATGTAACACTCACCTTTCTAGAACAGGAGGAAGGAAAAGAACTGTGCCAAGAGTGGAGCCAGAATTAATCAACTGGGTTCACCAACATCATTGACCATTGTTCTGTGCCAGGTTTGGTATCTGGGTAAAGGAAGAATTGGGGGAGGGATGAATCAGGTCTCTGCCTAAAGGTGGGATCAGTCTACTTGTTACAGGTGGAGGGTGTCCAAGTTCTTGGCATTTTGAACAAAGAATTGGACAAAACACACAAAGCAAGGAAAGAATGAAGCAACAAAAGCAGAGATGTATTGAAAATGAAAGTATCCTCTACTGGCTGGGAATGGGCCCAAGCATAGGGGCTCAGGAGTCCCCTTAGAGAATTTTGGGGGGTTTAAATACCCTCTAGAGGTTTCTATTGGTTACTTGGTGTACACCCTATGTAAATGAAGAGGATGAAGTAAAGTTACAAAGTTACTTACTCCGCCTGCGCCCTATGTAAATGGAGAGGATATTTCCTGGCATAGCTGAAGTGTTTCCATTTGATTTAGTTCTAGGAAGTCCTTATGTTCTCTGTCTCCAAACCCTATTCTCCTGCCTCATACTGACAGGTTCTTAACTGGAATAATGAGGGGCTGGAATAAAAGGCGAGGTATCCATCCCTAAGCTGAATTTGAAGGTTGGCTTGAAGGAGTCAGAATGAGTAAGAGAAGGCAACCTTCAGCCTGGGGACAGACTTGAAGACAGCGCAAGCATGAGGACTGCCTTCTGTGGGCAGTGAAATTGCCTGGCTGTAGGGGCCTAAGGGCAAAGGAGGTTACAAAAGTGATCTTGAAAGGCATTCGCTGACCTGTGGAGGGAGCTACCCCTCCTTAAAGCCTGAAGAAAAAGTTTATTTTCTGCTCCTTCTCTGTTGCTCCCACACTATTTCTCTGAGCTGGAGGTGGAAATAGACTTCTGTGTCATGATCACACTACTAGTTAAGAAAACATTTTCCACCAAAATAAAAAAATAAATACAATCTCATAAGATCCAATCTTCACAGATCTTCACAATGTATGATATTCATTTGAAGGACACTTTCCAGACCATGCAACATCCGGCCACTCACCTTTTTAGAATAGGAGGAAGGAAAAGCTCACCATAGTCATCAGAATCAACCCACTCTCTCACCCACTGATTGCAAGGCAGATGCAAACAGCCTTCCCAGATGCCCTGTCATCTTGTGTCATCTTTGTCATGAGATCTGGGACGGCGTCCCTCAAAGACACATGTGACTTCAGACCTTCTCCTGCCACGTAGCCCTCATCATCACAGTTGTAGTTTTAAAGAAACTGGTTGAACTTTGTCCTTCTTAATACCACTCTACATCAGACCCTTTTCTTAAGAGCCACTTAATTTCTAATACTCAGCTTGTTTACTACATGATGAAAAGCCTAAAGATACAAGGAAAATAGGCCTTCCAAAACTTAATGAGAGCATAGTTATAAAGGGTGACTTTATAATTCTACAAAGGGCTGTTACTTCCTGAGGGCAAAACAAAGGGAAGCAGAAAAAGGAGATCCACTGAGGCTGAGGACTGTAGGTGCACATGGCAATTTAGAGGACCAATGGGAATTCCTTCCCACTATGATATTCCAGAATGATTATCCTTGAGTTTAATGCAGTATTTTGCACATCTTCCCTGATTAAAAATTTACTAATAAGTGCAAATTTGCAGAAAAGTCCTGAGGGCTCAGAAACTGTGTAATCAGTATGAGATATTCACAGAGGAATGGCAAAGGATCCTGTCATCCAAGGAGTCTGTAATAACCATGAAATGGATGGGCTAACAGCTGCTCTCTGGAAAATCATGACCACTCCAACAGAGGGGTCAGTCAGGCTCATGAGTTTTGAAACATCCACAACGTGACATTTCCATCCACTCTGGCTTGGAAACTAGCTTCTGGAAGCTCTCTGTCTAGAAATAGACAAGTTCATGTTCACTTGGGAGTTTTAGTCTATAAAATCAGGGAGCAGATATAGGAAAATGCCTAATATCTAGGAGCAGAAACAATATAGTCTTCTTAGGCATCTCAGTGTATTTATCTCAACTGGCCTCTGTAGAAGGGACTAGGTGGGTGTGTATTTGTTTTTATTCTTCAAACTTACCAAACAATTTATATCAATGGCTCAAGAACAAATGGTGTAGTTGTGCTACAGTGATAAGCACTCTGGAGATAGATGCAAAGAACAGTTTCTTTTGGCATAGTTGTTTTTGGGAACTGTAGCCTCGTGGCTCAGGTATGCAGGTTGCTGTGAATGAGACGAGTGATACACTTTGTTAAAACTAGCCACTGTTCCCAGGTAGAGTTTGGATTTGGATTTCCTTAACAGAGACTGAAACCAGGAAGAATTCTCACTTTCATTTACAACATGGCATTTCCTGATTCCTTTACTTTATTTTTTTCTCCTTTGATTGTACAACAAAATGCAGTCATGTTTTGGTATCTGTGGGGGATTGGTTCCAGGACCTCTGCAGATACCAGAATCCTCAGATATAAAGTCCCTGATATAAAACGCACATCCTTCTGTACACTTTAAGTCATGTCTGGATTATTTGTAATACCTAATACAATGTAAGTTCTAAGTAAATAGTTTTTATACTGTATTGTTTAGGAAATAATGGCAAGAAGAAGGTCTGTACATATTCAGGACAGGCATGCTCTTTTTTCTGAATATTTTTTATCTGCGGTTGCTTGAATCCACTGATGTGGAACCCATGGGTAAGGAGGGCAGACTTATTTGGGATAGTCAACCATAGAGACTCAAGGTTCTTCCTCGCTTTGTGTTATGAGTTTTTCACAGGCGCTTCATGTTTTACAGAGGAAGCAGAACCAGAGAGAAGACCACACATGCGAGAGGAGGTCATATACACATGTTAATCCCTCAGTCATTCAACCTGCCCAATCACCACTAACCTCTCCATTCCACAGACTACCCAGTGACCTTGTGCTATGTATTTTCTCCCCAAAATTGGTGCTTGAAGTTTATTTTAACCCAATTTCACCTAGATACAAAAGTGTAATTGAGAAGAAAGCCCATTTCTAAACATGAGAACTTGAATTTTCTTTAATGACTCAAAATTTTTCATTTATTTGATACACTTGCTTTTTCTATATATGCTTATTCTATATATGTTAAAGCAATGATTAAAGTAAAACATGAACACATTCCCCTTTTTAAAAAGTATTAGAACATCACAGATAAAGCTAAGTGCTCTTTTCCTATAATAACATAATCACTCCTTATCTCCACCTACCTCCTTTCCATTTCTTTCTCTCCCTCTCTCCAAAACTGCCACATATAATCAACTTTGTATGTAGTCTCACAGTCCTTTAAAAAAATGCTTTTACATCTGTGTATGTCCAAAGGAGATATGCATTACTGATTTTTATTTTTCAAGAACTTGAATTTTTCATACTGTCCAAATCTAGAATTTAGGGACCAATGGAGATGTAGAAGGGGAGAGGTTTGCTCTGAGTGAAGCTTTCCCCATTCTCAAAAAAATAAAAAGGGGGGCAACTCTTGGGTTTGCTTCAACCACTGGGTCAAGTCTGGGGTCCTAGGGCTTTACCTTACCACCCACTTCAGTGTAAGCTTGATAAATCCACAATGGGAGTTTCTGAGTGATTACCAAGGTTCTCAGCTACTCAGTTTCCACCAGTGTGAAAGTGGGAGCAATGTTCCTCCTCTCTTGTGGTTATGATGAGAATCATGAGTGAAGGTGTTTGGCAGTGCCTGCCACGGTGCTTCTCGAGAGTCTGCTTTGTCTGAGAGCCTCGGTAATCTCTCAGAGACTCCTATTGAGGATTTATCAAGCTCACACTGAAGCGGGTGGTAAGGTAAAGCCCCAGGACTCCAGACTTGACCCAGTGGCTGAAGCAAACCCAAGAGTTGCCCCCTTTTTCTTTATTTATTTTTATTTTTTATTTTTGAGAATGGGGAAAGCTTCACTCAGAGCAAACTTGTCCTCTTCTACATCTCCATTGGATCTGGACAGTACGAGAAATTCAGCTCTTTGTCAGCTTCTCCTTGAGCTGCCGAAGGCACTCTTTCTCCTGAAAAGTGCTTGTGATGCTGCAAGTGCAGAGTGACACATTGTCTTAGTATCCCGAGAAGTACAGCTAATGGGAAATGACTTCAGTTTACTGCATCTTCTAGTAATCCTGTGATGCCATCGCAAAACAAAAAGCACATGACTACTCGTAAGCCCACTGCACCTGAAAAAGAAATTGGATTCTACTCGGAAAAACAGGCTGTAAAGCTAATCGCTCTGATCCAATAATGTGGCCCTGCAGAGTGGCATCATCTGCCCAGAGACACAGAGAGGAGGAGGGAGAGCAAGGAGGGAGGGAGAGCACTTGGGGAGGCAGCTGCCCAGCTCTTCAGACACTCAAGCCAATAAAAAATTCATAACGAGATGTTTTATAGCCAATGTCTAATACCCCTGCTGGGTCACAAGCATATCTGAGCCAATCAATAGTATTCATCATGCTGAAAGGAGCTAGTGATTGCATGTTGATGAGAACTGGGAGGTTTTCCAAGCCAAGGCCAGTTTCTGGTTACTTGGTATGTGTCACCCTTAAAAATATAGAACTTATTTTGAAAATGGAACCCAAGACCTTTTAAAAAATACAAAGTGGGGAGAAGGAGAGATACTTTTTAAATCTAGGGGGAGGGGATGTTTGAATTCTTTTTAAGTCAACCCAAGGACTACTTTTAAACTGGAACAACTTTTTTGTTTCAATCCAGGTGGCCATTCCTTGTATATGATTTCTTTTTCTTTAGCTTCAGAATTTTTTTAATAACACTTAAATAACAGCATCTGTGATAAACTCCTTCAAATACAAACGGGAATATATGACAATGAAGTCATAAGAACGAAAGTAAATGGAGTCAACTTTGTCATTACATACCACTACATTCCAGGTTGATTTTGTCTCTAAAAGCTTTTAAAATCATAGCAACTTCAACTTCAGTTGCTTGCTTAAGGGTTTGCTTTCTACACAGGCAGTGATGGAAGGGCAGAGTGAGGTAGAGAGACAGCAAGATGAGACTTACAGGCTGTGTGCTCACCATCTGCTGAGGATTTCAGGGGAAACCACACTTTGCCATGGTCAGATGGGAACAGCTGAGGGAAACCTAAAGCTTTCACATGGGTATTCCAGGCATGGGTAAATTATAGGCCTCCCTGAGGTCTTCAAAGCAGATCACATTGGACATCATCTCTTCCACTCCCACCAAAATTGTTTTAACAAATTTGAATGTTGAATCCTCGATGTTGAATTAAACATCAAGAGCTCACAAATGGAAAGTCTTGGAAAATCAACTCATGAGCTGGCAAGACAGGAGAGGAGGAGGGTCCATGGGATGAGGAGAGGTTCATCCTTTCCCTGGCAATGGTATCAGGAAAAAGCTGTGCCTTGCAACTTTGTAAGCAAATAAGATCTCTTTTCATAGCTGTAAAGGTACCGTTCAATGTGTTTGAAATACAGAAAAGTAAAATCAGAAAACTAAAATTATTCATGAGCCTCACATCCTGAACAATCCACTGAACAAGATGGTAGATTTTCTTGTAGACACACACACACACACACACACACACACACACACACACCTCTACCAAATTGGCATCTTGGTATATACAGTTTTATATTCTGAGTTCAATGTATATTTATTTTGTAATCATTTTCACATCTCAAAATAGTCAGATGTGGCATCTTATTGTCCAGTTAGAACCGTACTAAAGGAATGTGTCGTTAGGCGCCATTCCTCTATTGACAGACAGACCATGCATTTTCAAGCCTGGGACTTTGTTGATGCAGGCCTATGGCATGGCCTGCCTGCCCTCCCACCTGTGTCCAGTGAACCCTGCATTTCGTTCCAATGCCAACTATGCTGAAGCCTGCTCCATTTCCCTGGTTGGAAATCGTCATTGAGGAATCGGGTTTTGGGCCTTAGAGGCTGACAGTCTTGGGCTCCATACCTGGAGCAATGCTTACCAGCTGTGTGACCTTGGGACACCTGTTAACTAAGTTTCAGTTTCCTCACCTATACAGTGGGGATAATACTCCCTACCTTCAAGTGTTAATATAATGATTGAGAGGAATGTATGTGTTCGTTTTCTCCCCTCCACCCTTTTTTGGTTTTCTGGTTTGTCTCCAGAGCAGCTATAGAGTAGTGGTTAAGAGCTTAAGTGAGCTTGAGCAAATAACCTAGTCTCTCTGTGTCTCAGTTTCTTCATCTGTATTATGGGGATAATAGTACCCATCTCTGCAGGTTTTTAGAGAAGATTAAATCAGATGCTCAATGTAAGACCTCTTTTTTTTTCTATGAAAATGCTTTAATAGAGGTGTCTTCACGGCATGCAATGTGAAGACACGAAGACCAGCAAGTGCACACACAATGACAGGTGGCTACCAGAGAAGAGTTTGTGGGTGAATAAAGAGTTCTCACCGCTTCCACCCTTTGCTCAGTAACAGAAGGTTGTTCCTCCTCAAACTATCTCTCCTCAGCCAAGGTATCCTGGTACTGTTGGTGCCTGGCACAAGTAGGAGCACAATCCATGTTGGTTCTTCTTCTCTTACAGGCCCTTGCATGGGTGTCCTTTTATTGTCATCAGAATGTGGCTTTGCAGTGGACAGTAAGGTCTTCCCTGTTGGCTGCCTCTTGGGGTCTCTGTCTGGTGAGCTTCTGAGTAACCCAATGCCTGGGACTGGGCCCTTTTTCCCTGCTAGCCATACCCTACAGAAGACTCTGGTCACTCAGACATCCTTGCAATCCCTGCTTGATGGATACCCTGGAATGGAGGAGCCCTTCTGAACTAGTAGCCTGAAATGGGAAGAACCTCCTTAACCACTGCTCAGTAACTAGGTATCAAACCAAAGAGGAAAGTTTGGCTGTGAGAGAACTGCCAGAGAATGGATTCTTTTCCCGGAAGATGGCCCTGAGAAGAAGGCTCTCTCCAAAAGTGCCATGTACAATCAGCTTTGTACATAGTCTCACAGTCCTTTAAAAAAATGCTTTTACATCTGTGTATGTCCAAAAGAAAAATGCATTATTGATTTTTATTTTTCAAGAACTTGAATTTTTCATACTGTCCAGATCTAGAATTTAGGAACCAATGGAGTTGTAGAAGGGGACAGGTTTGCTCTGTGAAGCTTTCCTCATTCTCAAAAAAATAAAAAGGGGGCAACTCTTGGATTTGTTTCAACCACTGGGTCAAGTCTGGAGTCCTAGGGCTTTACCTTACCACCCACCTTGACCCCTGAGTGTCCAGATAAACTCCAGCTGCTCACCTGGACTCCCTGGGCCTCATTTCCTCATGGGCAACATGACAGTAACTCTCCTACCTTGTGTGATTTTTTTTTTTCTGTTTCCGTGAGTTCACGTGAAGCACCTGCAGGATAATTCCAGGTCTGCTCCCATGGCTCTGAGGCTGCTGGGAGGGGGTTAGAGCCACAGCTGTGCTGTGACCTGGCCAGTACCAGTGCAGGGGAGGCAGAGCATGCTGCCGCTCACTTAGGAACCCAAGCAGGTCGCTGGCATCAGGCACCAACCCTGGCTGGCAACTGAGGCTGCTGCCTCTGGCCTGCCTGGCTCAGAGGCTGGCCAGACCTGGGCCTAGCGGTGGATTTAGCAACTGAGCTGGGGAAGTAGAGAGAGATTGAAAAGTGAGGAGGGGGCTAGCATCAGAGGCCAAAAGGATAGGAAACCAGGCCAAGTGAGGCTTGAGCACCCAGCAGGATCCTCAGGCAGGAGACAAAGGTTTGGTCTTCTTTTTCTCAAGGGCAGGTTTGGACTCTTCATTTGTGGGTGGTGACTCATCTCCACAAGGAGTTCTTGCGGCTCTATGCTGGTGTGCCCCACGGTCACTCAGATCTCCATTCTCACACTGTTGTATTCACAATGGCTCCCTAATGCCATGGCAGGCCCCCAGCCTGGTCATTTTCAGGGGCTAGAGGTGCTTACCCCTACACACACATTCCTTCTTTTCACACCCAGCTGGCTGTTCTCTCCGGAGCTTTCTCGTTGCCAAGTCCTGTCCTCATATCTTGGTATTCACCTTTATTGGAAAGTACATCATGTTCAATATTATCCTGTCATTCACACTTGCAGCTCAGGGAGATTTGGCAGCACAGCACCTCCTACCCTCTCACAGCTGCCCTCTGACATAGTCACCTCTGCAGCAGGCTGTGTGCTTAATCAGGCTGGGGGTTGCGTTTATTCGTCTTTCTGTCCATCGCAGATTCTAGCTTAGTGCCTGTCCCATAGCAGGTGCTCAGTACACCATGGCTGGGTGTAAGAAAGAGGAGAAGCTGGGCCAGGCACTGCGGAGGGGCCACCCAAAAGCATCTCCCAGCCTTCTTCCCTAGCCTTCTTCTACTAGCATGGAAACAAAGCCTTAATTTCCCAACTACTCTTGCAGCTAGTGAGACAGCTCTGGCCAATAAGCTGTAAGTGGAAGTCTTTGAGGAACACTTTCTTTCCAGAATAAGAGGTAAACTTCTCTAAGAGAATGCCTTGGATCCTTTTGCCATCCCCCTTCCTCCCACCTGGAATGCAGATGTAATACCCGAAGGTGCAACAGTCACCTTGCAACCATGAGGGAGCAAGCCACAGTCAGACTGGCCAAGGGAAAAAGAAGAAAGCACCTTGGTGAACTGATGACCATTACTCCCAGGCTGACCAATTATGTGGAGGTTTCCCAAGATGCTAAAACAGGAATGATCCTGGGCAAATCTGGACATTGGTCACCCTACCCCAGCCCTGGACTTACTGACTCCAGAAACATGTTATACAGTGAGGAAAATAAGCCCCTATTTATCCCAGCCATCCAGTCAGGTTTCTCCATCATTTGTAGTCAAAAGCATTCCTGCACATGAAAAGTTATTATTTCTAAGATTCAACAAACTGGCACATAGAGAGTTGTAGGTCACAGGTGCTAGCTGGCTTCCCAGAGGTTATCCTGGTTGAGTCCAATAATGTTTCTTTATAAAAGTTTAATTATACTCATTTTACAGATGAAAATAACTGAGGCACCAAGAAGTTTAGCCCAACTGGAATCTAAATCCTGTACATTTCATGCCATGCCCTTTCCCTCTGTAAGCCACTGTGACTCATTTACTTTTAGTTCAATATGTGATCATCTAATGTTATCCTAGGCATGGGCCTCATGCTTTTCTGTTGAATAAAATTACTGTGAGACACAATCGCTGCCTTCCTTTTTAGGATTTCTTGATACCAAAAAATCCTAGTGATCTGACTTGTCTTTATATGGTTGAATAATAATGAATAAGTGCATGTGAGAATGATTTACATAAATTTAGAGAATTTTTTAAAAAATTATTGTTGTGGCCAGGAGCAGTGGCTCACACCTATAATCCCAGCACTTTGGGAGGCGGAAGTGGGCAGATCACCACCTAGCCAACATGGTGAAACCCCAACTCTACTAAAAACACAAAAATTACTAAAAACACGCCTGTAGTCCCAGCTACTCCAGAGGCTGAGGTGGGAGGATGGCTTGAACCCAGGAGGTGGAGATAGATATATATATATATATATATATATATATATATATATATATATAAATATATATATATACACACACACCCACATATATATAGTTGAATGGTTCAAAATGTACAAAGGAGAAGGTGGTAAAAAAAAGTCTCCTTCACGATGCCTGTTGTTTTACAGCTGAATACTAGGAAAACTTCCATCAGTTTTAAATGGATAGTTTTGATTGTGGATAACACTGATAGTTCCGTAAATTTGTATTCCGTTTTTGATATTACAGAATACATTCAAAGACACTGTCATTTTCTCTTGCCAGTCGGTTGGGAAAGTTTTCTTCAGATCCCTTTCATAGTCACAGATCTTCCCCTGAGCCCCTTCTGCCCTTGCTCCTGAGGTTGACTTCCCACTGGGTCCCCTGCCCCTTTTGTAGTGATGCTCCTGGGGCCTCCTGGGTACAGCTGTAGGCTCTTCTCACTCTCTGCCCTAAGAACAGGCCTCTCCCAGAAGATGCTGGGGGTGGGCCGCTGAGGCTGTCCTGCTCCTGTAGGAGTGCAGCAGGGGAACCCCTTCAACTAGTATACCTGACCCTCATTTTCTCTTACAGCGTACATATTTATTTACATTTTGCCCTTTAATGTTCATGAAGATTCTATAATAGCACATAGTTTATAATAGCGTGGAAAGATAGTTATTACATTAATTGAAAAAGCATACTATTTCAACTTCATTAAGTAACCAAATCAATTAATTGAATTATTGCAATTACACTAATTGGAAAACATCTAGGTGTATGTATATCTATATCTATATATCATATAATTAAGACCTTCAACAAAACCTATGTTTAGAAAAATTCCTGGAAATAACTTATTCTTTCCTCCCTCTCATCCCAACTGTACCTCTTCCCACAGATTCTCTCGTCTTAGTTGAAATCCACCCAGCTTCCCAATCCAGACCCCTTAGCATTATCACCCTCGACTCCTTTGCTTAGATTCCCACCACCAGCACCCTCACCACCCGCCAATCCTACTGTCACTAAGGTGTGTCCATTCTACCTCCTTAACCCTTCTCCAACCCCACAGCTGCCACCTTAGTCCAGCCCCCACCATCCCATACCCAAGTTTCTGCAACAGCCTTAAATCCAGCCTCCCAGCAGCCTCCAGTCTTATTCTGCTCCAACCATTCTTTACATTTCAGTCAAGTTTCTCTTTCTTTTTTTAAAAAAAGTCTTGCAACACACCTTGCTTAAATTAAAGGTTCTAATTATATCCTACTGTCCTCAGGAAGCAGTTGAATTCGTCTGGAGTTCTGGCCCCTGCTCGCTTCTCTGGCCTCCTCTCTTGCCTTTCCAGATTCTGCTCATGGCCTTTGAGCTGCTGCTGAACCACTTGCATTGAGCCCATGCTGTCTCTCCTCCAGCCCCTGCACAGGCCATTCAGCATGCTCTGCACCCTACCCTCGATGAACTCCTCCTGATCCTCCAGGTCTCAGCCTCACAGACTTCAAGGAAAAAGGTTAAAACAAAAATGTCAACCAAGTCAGCTGAATAGCGATGATGTGTTTTCACTCTCATCTATATATAGCTCAGTCAATTCATCGATCATTCATTGCAGAATCATTAATTCTGTACAATTTATTAGGCATATTTCATCTAGTGGCCCAGGGCACCACTGGTTCTAGGTGAACCTATAGCGAGAGTATCTTTTTGCAGACTTATTCATTCATTCATTCATTCATTCAATATTTCCTTCTTTTGTTTATATTTATTCAACAAATACCATACAAAAATTAACAGAAAGGAGTCCCTGTTCTCAAGGGGCATGATCTGGTGGAGGACACAGGCTCACTAACAAAACATTCCTCCACGTGGTTAGTGCCACAAAGAGGAAGACAAAGCACCACAGTGGGTCAGAGACAGTCTCATGGTAGAATCGAAGTTGAAGTGGCAGGAGAGAAGAGTTTAACAGGTAAATAAGGCATGAGAGATGTGGGACAAAAACTCAAGGGAGGGAAGCTCTTTCCAAAAGAGGAAATAGCAGGTACAAAGGCTGAGAGTTAAAACCTAGCTTGTACAAGGACCCAGGTAATGTATGCAGAATGACCAGAGTGCCAGGAGTGTGGGCAGGGTGGCCCTGGGAGCCACGCACCCCCAATACCCTTCTGCTGCTTGGTAACTCCTCCACCAGACTGGAAACCCTTTCTCCTTCCTCTCCCTCTAAGTCCTACCCATTGTCAAGACCTACTTCCTTCATGAAGCCTTCTCAGACTAGGTACCAAGCAGATGAGCATTCAATTCCATTCTGTTTTGTACACGACAATTCAAAGATTTCATAATAAACCTTACCTTCCTGACAAATTGTAAACTCCTTGAAGGTGAAGACTGTGATTTACACTTTTTTTTTTTGAGACAGAATCTTGCTCTGTCACCAGGCTGGAGTACAGTGGAGCAATCTTCGGCTCACTGAAACCTCTGACTCCCAGGTTCAAGCAATTCTCCTGCCTCAGCCTCCCGAGTAGCTGGGATTACAGGCGCACCACCACGCCCAGCTAATTTTTGTATTTTTAGTAGAGATGGGGTTTCACCATGTTGGCCAGGATGGTCTCGATCTCTTGACCTCGTGATCCACCTGCCTTGGCTTCCCAAAGTGCTGGGATTACAGGCATGAACCACCGTGCCCGGCTGATTTACACTTATTCTTACATTCCTCTGGGCATCTGGGTAAGAAACCGAGTATTGCTCTGTAACTACTCATAGAGACAACACCAGCCTGGACGCTCTTAAAGTCAAAGTCCTGGACAATGCCCATGGACCCAACATCAAGCAATGACTGGTGAGTCTCTTAATATATACCTCTCATCCGTCTTCATGTACCTGCTATAATATTGGATCATAGGTTTGTGGTGAGCATCAATTAGATGCCTTAGCCTAATTTTCTCATTCTTGGAGAAAAGATAAGTAATAATGTTATGGAATTTAAAGGGATTCTCATTAGAAGTCCCTACGTTTAATCAACCTTTGAATTTTGTCTTTTGTTTTCTCGAGACAGGGTCTCACTCTGTTGCCCAGGCTGGAGTGCAGTGGTGTGAACATGGCTTATTGCAGCCTCGACCTCCTGGGTTCAAGTGATCCTCCCGCCTCAGCCTCCTGAGTAGCTGGGACCACAGGTATGCATCACTACACCCAGCCAATTTTTTAATTTTTTGTAGGGATGGAGTCCCACTATGTTGCTGGTCTTGAACTCCTGGGCTCCAGTGTTCCACCCTCCTCAGCCTTGCAAAGTGCTGGGATTACAGGCTTGAGCCACCACGCCCAGCCTGAATTTATTGTTGATTAACTTTTCACCTACGGAAAGTAACAGCTGTTGCCATCTGTGAAAGCCCTGGACTCCTAGAAGAGCCACGTCTTTGTTCCATCTTTATTGCGTGTCAGCCTTGTGACCTTGGGCAAGTCATCTATGCACTTTTAAACCAAAGTTTCCCCAATTTTTCAAATTGGGCTGATAATACCTCACAGGGCTATTGTAAGGAATAAATGTAGTAATGGATGTGAAATGAATTGGTAGCATATGAAGTGTTATTTTAAACATCAGAGAGTATTTTAATCTTTATTGTAAACTAACCCTCTCTTTCCTTCATTTTATTCCTAGCATTCAGAATCCCAGTGCAAAATTCCCTTTCCACAGGGAAGTGAGTGAACTGTACTTATTTTAAGGAGAGAGAGTGTTCATCATCTCATATCTGGGAGATCTAGGAAATCATCTTCTCAGGCAATCTATACATGTTGGAATAATTATGTCTTCCTGAGGATGGCAGATTCTCTTGGCAGATGGAGCACAGACTAGGTAAGGAGCCCTTCCAGGTGCACCACCCCAAGGGCATGGCACCAGCTGAGGAAGCTGCCCAGGCTAAGCTCTTAGAACAGTAGCCTGTCCCAGAGAGAATTCTGTGTTCCAGGGTGTCCTCATCAGAAAGAGGGTTCTGCTTAGATTTTTCAGGGGAGGGTGGTTAAACAACACAAACAAAAAAAGTGGGCCCCAAACCAAAGACCCTAAAAAAAGGAGGCGAGGACAGAACTATGGAAGGAGAGAACAGTCTTTTTTTTTTTTTTTTTTTTTTTTGAGACGGAGTCTCGCTCTGTCGCCCGTCTTATGTACACAGCAAACACCAAACTAACCTGCAGTCAGAGACCTGAACTCAAAGCCTGTCTCTGATACTAACTGGCTGTGTGACTTTGGGAAATTCACCCATCCTTTCTGAGCTTCTGTAAAACTGTGTGTAACATGAGCATAAAAATTCCTAGCTTTTGGTGCTATTTAAGGATTACATTTGTGGGAAAGAGTTTGACAAATTGAAAATGCTACATGACTGTAAGCTGACTATAAATTATATACTATATAATAAATTACTTTACTATAATAAAGTAATCATTCAGACAGCCCATATGATCTGTGTGTCTCTGGGCCTCCAGGGAGTTGTCCGTTAAGAGGCCTTAAGTAGAATTCCAACAACCCCAGGGACTAAGAAGGCATCTCCTGCAGGTGAGGAGTGTGCATGGAAGCCAATTGGTTTCCACTGGTAACTCAAAGGCCACCCCTCCCGGGAGAGCTTGCCATTGTTTCCGATGCACATCCCCATCCTGGGGGGCACTGCTGCATCCCCCTCATTCCTACCTACACCTCACACTTTAGGGTTCAAGGCCCTTCCTCTTGCTCTACCTTTTTTTCAGCTTATTTTTATTTATGTTTTATTATTTTTTTTTAATTCTGGGGACAAGGTCTCACTCTTCCCAGGCTGGAGTGCAGTGGCATGATCATGGCTCACTATAACCTCGAACTCCTAGGCTCCAGTGATCTTCCCACCTCAATCTCCCATGTAGCTGGGACCACAGGGATATACCACCATGCCTGGTTAATATTTTTATTTATTGTACAGATGGGGTCTTGCTATGTTGCCCAGGCTAGTCTTGAACTCCTGGCCTCAAGCGATCTTCCCACCTTGGCCTTCCAAAGTGCTGGAATTATAGGTGTGAGCCATCACACCCACCCTTCCTTATCTTTTTGATCCTCCCAATAAATCTGTAGTTTAGCAGAGCAGATAACAAGCCCTGCCTTCACCTACACATACTTTTTATAAATGACTTTCCTGGGGCCACAAAGCTCAAAAGGACAGCTGGAGATCTTTAGCCTCTGCAGCCCGGAACTCACAGCTTGGAGGGTCAGCTGAGATTTGAACCCAGATTCCTAACAGCCTTGCTCTGCTCACAGCCCAAGCTGCTGCCTTAGGGGTAAACAGAACCCCCATTAGCACAAAATTCCCTGGCAACCTTGACTAGGCCTGGACACCTACTTCTACCCACAAGTGTTTATTTTCTTGTGTTGTTTCCAAGGGGACCAGCAGGCACTTGCTCTCCCGCTTTGGTCCTCACTCCCCGTGTGTAACTGGGGAGCCCTGTTGGCCCCCATCGTGATGCATGGGCTTCCTCAGGCAAGCAGGCAGTGACTGAAGCCCTGCCAGCCGCGTGGGCCGCTCCTCTGCAGCACCGCACTCAGATGCGATTAGGCCCGTGTGTCACAATGCTTGGCAACAGTTCTGGGAGACAGGAGACCTTTGCTCATGCCATTGCCCTGTCAAGTGACTACAATTTCATTTGGCAGTCGGCTAGCTTGGCCTTTTGCATCATCCTGTCCTGCCCCCTCCTCCCTCAGCTAATGGTTAGTCCATCATTCCAGATTGCTGAGGGGGCACCCTGGGTGGAAGTGTGAAGTTCCCACGTCTTTCCCCCTAAAGCAATTTCAGAATGATCACTCTGGATAATGAAAAACTGCTACATGTTTTAGGAGGGAGACTTCCTGGGAATTTCTTGTTCCTGCCGTGGTAGACTTTAACCCCAGCACCAGGCACTCTGAGCTAGCTGTAGAGCAGGATAGGGATTCAGATGTTCATTCATTCAACAATTTTTATTTTTATTTTTATTTTTATTTTTTGAGACAGAATCTTGCTCTGTCACCCAGGCTGGAGTGCAGTGGTACAATCATAGCTCACTCTAACCTGCCTCCTGGGCTCAAGCGCTCGTCCCACCTTAGCCTCCCAAGTAGCTAGGACCACCGGCATGCACCACCATGCCCAACTAATTTTTAAATTTTTCATAGAGACAGAGTCTCACTATGTTGCCCAGGCTGTCTCAAACTCCTAGCCTCAAGAGATTCTCCCCCCTTGGCCCCCCAAAGCGCTGAGATTACAGGTATGAGACACTGTGCTTGGCCCATTCAACAAATTTTAGTTGAGCACAATCTACATGCCAGTCACTGCTCTAGACACTGGGAATACTGCCATGAACAAAACAGATTAAAAGCCTTGCCCTCATGGGGCTGACATTCGGGGGTGGGGAGTGGAGTGAAGAGAAGAGACAGGTGGCCAGACGCAGTGGCTCACGCCTGTAATTCCAGCACTTTGGGAGGCCAAGGAGGGCAGATCACCTGAGGTCAGGAGTTTGAGACCAGCCTGGCTAACATGGTGAAACCCCATTTCTACTAAAGGTACAAAAAATTAGCCGAGTGTGGTGGCACATGCCTATAATCCCAGCTACTCAGGAGGCTGAGGCAGAAGAATTGCTTGAACCCAGGAGGCGGAGGTTGCAGTGAGCCGAGATTGTGCATTATTGCACTCCAGCTTGGGTAACAAGAGCGAAACTCCGTCTCAAAAAAAAAAAAGAGAGAGAGAAGAGACAGGCAAACCAACTAAAAAACAGATATGTTACAAGATTCTGGGAAGAAAAATTAAACAGGGGAGAACCTGGCCATAGAGGATGGTCTTCCCAGCACCCTCACAGTGCCCAGCAGAGAGCAGGTCCCTGACTCTAACTGACCTGGCCAGCTCCTCAGGGTCAGGTCTAATTTCCCCACGCCCCAGGCACCGCTGGTGAGGGGCTGCTAGAATGGAAACAGCCTCTAGAATCAACCACCAACACTGATGGCAGAAGTATCCCCAAAGAGCCAGATTCCACCCAGTGTAGCCGCCTCCATCCAACCCTGCCAGGATGTCCTCTATTCCACATCTTCCTCTGTCCTCCTCCAAATCCTGGCTACCTGAACCCAGCCATTAGGACCTGCACAGTCCAGCAGGGAGACCAACCAGTGAAAAGACCATGACAGTACAGAGACGAACAATCTGCAGGGCCTGTGCAGGGGCTGTGGGAGTCTGAGGAGGGGGAAGCAGTTTTTGTAGGGTTCTGCCCCGTGCATTGTAGGATGATAAGCAGCATCCCTGGTCTCTTCCCACTGGATGCCAATAGCACCCTACCCCCAAATTGGGACAACCAAAAATATCTCCAGACATTGCCAAATGTCCCCTGGGTGGGTTGGGGGCGGGGGGCAAAATCAGCCCTTAGTGGAGAATCACTGGTTTAACTCAAGGTCAATTCAACTTATTTTACCAAGAAGCACCTTTTATTTATTTTGGAACTTTTATTAACGCTGCATGTAACCTATATTATTCTCAACACTCTGGGAAGTGCTGGTTTCCAGATAAAGCTCATGTTCCCTATCCCAGGGTGCAGGACCTTAGGATCTGGGCCCTGCCTGGCCCTCTGGCCACACCCTGAACCACCCTTTTTGCTTCTCTACTTTTGGCTTCAGTAAAGGCCAGCCGTAGTTGCCTTCAAACACTGCATTTGGCATTCTGGGCTCAGGCTGCTTCTGCTGTCTGGAATGCTCTCCCCACCCGTCCTCACCTGGCTCACTGATTCATTCTTCAAGTCTCCACTTGGGCATCACCTCATCAAACTACCCTGAAGCCCAGACAGGGCTGAGCAGCCCACAGTGCTCCTGAGCTCCCGTAGCACCTGAAGCACTACAGTCCTACAGTATGCATAGTTTGAGGTTATGGACTCATTTCTCTACTTGACCTGCAAGGCAGAAACCCTGTCTTTTCATCATTGGTAGATCCAGAATCTGGTAAAGTGTCTGGCACAGAGTAGATGCTCCATAAAGGTCAAAATGAATTGAAAAGTAAATAGAGCTTTGGAAGGCCAAGGCAGGAGGATCACTTGAGGCCAGGAGTTCAAGACCAGCCTGGGCAACACAGCAAGACCCCATCTCCACAAAAAAATTAAAAATTAGCCAGGTGTGGTGGCGCATGCCTGTGGTCCTAGCTACTCGGGAGGCTAAGGTGGGAGGATCACTTGAGCCCAGGAGTTGGAGGCTGCAGTGATGGTCGTGCCACAGCACTCTAGCCTGGAAGAGTGATATCTGGTTTCGAAAAAGAAAAAAACAAAACAAAACAAACAAAAAGCAGAAAAAGAAAAGAAGGAAAAAAACAAAAGAGAGAAAAGTAAATAGAACACAAATATGCGTGAGATAAAGATACAGGGAGTGAGGGCGGGAGAGCGCAGTCTCGGGGAGGGAAGGAGCCGAGGGGTATCTTCTTCACGCAACATGGGAAAAGATGATTAAGTTGCCTGCTCCTGCTCCTCATTCTTTCCTCCTTCCGGCTAAACACTCCTAGTTGCCTTAACCTTTAATCTGACATCCATCTCATTTTCCAACCCTCTAATCATCTTCGTCATTGGCATCACTCCGTGCCTTCTCCACATTTTCTAGAGCTGCTTTTGTGTGTAAGACGATGCGTTCAGAGCCGCAGGAACACACAGCCCCAGGAGGACGGCTTCCACTTAATTAGCTTAATTCCACAATTCCCTGAGCCTCACGTCGCCCGACCTGGTGGCTGTTTAGAGGAGCCCTGCCTCTGGGCACCGGCAAATTATTTTCACAGGGAAGCTAGTGGAGAGAGTGTAATTGGTGATTATGCTAATTCCTTCCTTTTCTGTGTCAGAGACTGCTCTGCAGGGAGGCCAGGCTCCCGGGAAGGTGTGTATGAAGGTCTAGCAAGTTCTAGGCTCCTTCCTCCACAGCAGCCCTCCATGTCACAGGCCCTGAAGCAGTGCGGAGACAGCCCACAGGTGAAAGGACCTCCCCAGGGTCACCCTCGGAGGAAAGACACGTCCCGTGTGCGGGGCGGGGCGGGGCGGGGCGGGGCGGGGGGGGGTTGTCATTCCACCCTAAGCTTCTGGAACCCCAAACTTAAACCATTACCCCACCCCGCAGCTCCCTCTCGGGTGTCGGTGACGGCAGAGGAGGCCAGTCCCTTAGCAGCTGTGAAATCCTGTGACATAGGCCGGGTCGCCGCAGGGCAGCCTTGGACTGCCCGACTGTGGCCCCCTAGGCGGTCTGTAGGATCTAGGGCCCGCCGCCTCTGGAGCAGGCGCTCTCCTGAGCCCCTCACAGGAGGCCGCCTGGGGAGCCACTGGGTCCCTCAGCTTCCTCAGCCCGAGCCCAGCACAGTCCGGCGGCGCTGGCTCCGGCTGTTTCTGGCTGGGGCCGGCGCCTCCAGTCCGCGAGGACCTGGCGGGGGCGCGCGGCTCAGAGCGTAGAGATGGAGGGGCGCGGGGCACGGCGGCGCGCTCGGGGCCCACGTGGCGGGGGCTGGGAGGCTGCGGGGGGCGGGCAGAGCACTGCGAAGTCCTTGCCGGCTCCAGGACCCGCCGGGTCCTCTAACGAAGTCCCGGCTTCATGGCCGGCACAGAGAGGTAGCGTTGAGGTGTGGAGTCTTGAAGACGCTGCCCAGACTGATGCCACCTCTGTGTCCCCAGGATGCGTGGCGACAGCAGGAGAGGCCCCTCCCTGACCCCCAACCGCCCCCAACGCAGAAGCTCAAGGAGGCTGCGGCCTACTTGGTGAGAGGCCCAGAGGCTGCTGCAGGTAGAGAGGGCTGCGGCGCCCGCGGTGGTGGGGAAGGGTCATTTGGTCTGAATGTGGTTTCCAAACTGCCCCGGTCGGCTTTATCCTCCCTGATGGAAGGCAGTAGGGCAGCAGCACAGGTGGGCGCCAGGGCAGGCGGGGCAAGGGACGGGAGCTCTCTGTGACTCCTTTGCCTCTGGAAAACGGGGACGGCACTGAGCCTCGTCTGCAGCAGTGTCGCATGCATGAGCGAGATGTGCAATGTCAGCTCCGGAAGCGACAGCTCGGCTGCCTCACTGCCTGGCCTGCGCCCTCCACAGGAAGTCCTCCTCCTGCCTTCCCTTCACACCTCCTTGGCAACTGTCCAGAGTCCAGGGAGTGAGCTGCCTGGGAAGAATGCAGCGACAAAAATACTTAGCCGCATCCGGAACTTCCCTGGTGGCAGCTGGTCACCGACCATGGGCTTCCCCTGGCAACTGTTGTGTTGGTGAATGAATTCCGAGTCTGACCCTGGCTCTGGCACGCCCCTGGGGGGTCTTGGAGAAGTCACCCAAACTCTCAGCCTCAGTTCCCACCCCTGTCAACTAGGGCTAATAATACCTCCCCAAATGCCCCCTGGGAGTATTAAATAATATAATGTCGATGGCCACCTTTCTTTACTCAGAAGAACAATGAGAGGATAGAGTGCCACAGGAAGGACACAGGGCGCCCAGTAGCGATGCTGAGGGAACTACCCGGAGGCACGTGGCGGTTACCTGGAGACTGTACACCAGCAAACAGCCACTCAGGGGCGCTTGCTGGGCGCCGGCACTGTGCTGAATCTCTACGCAAGCCCCTTGAGTTAAGCATTATCCTCCTTGTGCACATGAGGGAAGGAGACCCTAGAGAGACTAAGGAACCTGTCTGAGGTCACCCAGCACCAGGATTCAAACCCTAGCTGTCTTCTGCCAAGGCCCCCGCTGCCAGCCACTTCACGGTGCTGCCCGCTGGGGGTGAGGTGCCAGGGTCTGTCCCAGCTGGGCTTGAGGGGCTGAGTCACTAATTCTTCCCATGTGATCTCCCTGGGACTCCACTCCCTCATCTGTAAAGTGGGCATGATCATGCCAGCTCAAAATGGATGTTGTGACATCGACTACCAAGGGGTCCTCACCCCTCTGCATTGCTCAGCAGGAGACACTTTATAAACAGAGGATTACCTCTGCTGCCTTGAGCCAAATGGCTTGCCCTGCCAAATTGTTGGAATGGTTCAGTGACAAGTGTGCTATTAGGAAGAAATTTATGATGCTTCATTCAGAGTGAGTCACTGAATCCCTGTGGTGAGGGGCATCAGCTAACTGGGGAACCCTGGCCCCAGCTGCCTTGGGTCTGGCTACCTCCCCACCAGAGGGTCAGTGGTGGCCAGTGACGCAGGTAGGTGAGGACAGTTGGGGAGGGCAGGCAGCCTCCAGTAGGGGAGGAGGTGGTGCCTGCAGTGGATCTGCTTAGACCTCACACTACGCGCCACGGGCTCCAGAATTCCCTTTCTGCTTGCCACTGAGTGTCCCAGGATGCCCAAGTGAGGCTCCAGGCCACTCTTCTGCTCCTCTTCACCACATTTGCTCAGCCCTCCCCAGCTGGGTCAGCCAACAGATATTTCAAAGTGTTTTGGTGAACCCTCTTCTCTCTGCCTTTGAGTCACAAATGAGGACAATGACAAATAACTAAACTTCAGGGGCAAGAAGATTTAGCTTAGATGTTGCAGTTCTGCTGGGATTTTTTTTTTTCCTTAAAAACTACAAAACACTATGTTTATGAGAAAAATCTCCAGCCTTAGAAGTTAGTCATAAATGTGACTGTATGAGAAGAACCAGCATAAGAAAACACCTTCCAGAATTGCGGGTGATCTCCTTAGACAGATGTCACTGTAACTCGCCAAACAAATCTGATCCTTCCCCATCTGCTCCCAGGGGCAGTATGAGGGTTTTCTTTGATATAACCAAACCCAGAGGTTAGGATGGAGTATTCACACAGGGCTCAGGACACACAGACTGCCTGACACTTAACTATCTGTAGCATGGACAAGGTGAGAACCAGCTCCCTTCACTGGTGGTTGCCTTTCTAGTTATCCACATTTTCCAAATGGCTGATGGCCAGGCAGGTTGCAAAAGCAGGTGGCTAGGCAGTGAAATGGGGTCTGTAATGTCACTCACTGTGAAGCACACTCCCCTCCCTGACGGTATGAGAAGAACCAGTGTAAGAAAACACCTTCCGGAATTGCGGGTGACCAGAAAAAAACAAAAAACAAAACAAACAAACAAACAAAAAACCAGAAAGAGCCAGGAGAGCCCCTCTGGCTCTTTCTCAGATCCTGTTGACTCCTTCTTTAATCTTAGCCCCATGAGGCTCACCAACGGGACACAGGTTAATAACCAGAGCTGTAGATGTAGAGACAGGCACGCCTGGGAGCTGATCACCTGAGAGTGTGAGAAAGAGTAAAAGAACCCCAAAGAAGAGACAAAATGGCTTTTCACACTGCGGCTGGTCCCTGTGGGAGAAAACGCACCCCACACCTGACAGGTGCTATTCATCACAATGGCCCTGTTGGAGCCGAGCTCATGCTTGGTGCCGTGACCTAAGAAATCAGGGATGCACACAAAGCATGTCCTGAGCATTTGTGATGTGCCAGGCATGCTTCTAGGTGCATTTTCTGCTTGAATTCCTTTGATCCTCACAGCAGTCCTGTAAGGTATTATGTGGCGGAGCCTGGATTTAAATTAGACTCTTTCTCAAATTCCATCTCCAGTGGTTATATTATTAGAGATGTGAATTTGTTCCCCAAAAAACACTTAATGATGCTACTGTTATTTGATCCCTTTGCCAGTGCCAGACAGTGTGCTAAGTATGCGTTTTACGTATGTTAATTCATTTATTATATGCAAAACCACTTTTTTTTTTTGAGACGGGGCTTCCGTCTGTCACCCAGGCTAGAGATAGTGGCTTGATGGCAGCTCACTGCAGCCTCAACCTCCTAGGCTCAATAGATCCTCCCATCTGAGCCTCCTGAGTAGCTGGGACTACAGGGGCACACCACCATGCCCAGCTAAATTTTTGTATTTTTAGTAGAGATGGGGTTTTGCCATGTTTCCCAGGCTGGTCTCAAACTCCTGGGCTCAAGTGATCCACCTACCTCAGCCTCCCAAAATGCTGGGATTACAGGTGTGAGCCATTGTGCCCAGCTGCAAAACCACATTTTATAGCTAAAGAAGTTGAGGCTCAGAGAGATTACTTACCCAGGGTAATAGGGCTAATAAGTAGTGACACTGGGACTTGAACCCAAGTTTCTCCAATTCCAAATCCTTTAGTGATAATTAGTGTGTTCTGCTTCTTTCCCCAGCATGAGGATATGGTATATGTATTTGTAACTACCTAAAGCCATGAGGGTTTGGTTAACAAAATTCTATAAAAGGTCTTATATGAGCCTACAGGACAGAGACCATGGTGGTGTGGGGCAATACAAACAGCATGGGAAGACCTCCTGCTAAACGTGGTGGATTAGCATTCTGCATGTATTTTTTCTCACTTTCTTATAGATTTTTCATAAAGATAGCTGCAATAATTTCTCCCATTCCTGAAACAAGCCTCTTTACAGTGTGATTTTGTCAGTCCTCCCATCAAGATAAAAAGTCTTAAATCTGATCTGACTTGCTTTGACAAACAGAATTCAGTGGAAGTGATGTTGCCTTTAACTTTTTGGAACATTGCCCTGAGACCACCCTTTAAATAAGCTAGTCTAGCATATTAGAAGATGAGGGACCAAGCGGGGAGAACTGAGGAACCCCAACCAACAGCTAGCACCAACTTGTATTTTCCAGGCCAGCCAATGATAACTGAATGCAGCAGTATGAGTGAACTCAGGTGAAACCAGCAAAGGGGTCACCCAGTCAGTTCCTAGAATCATGAGAAATCATAAATTATTGTTGCTTTAAGCTATGAAGTTTGGCGTGATATATTATGTAACAGTGGATAACATCCTTCCAAATCCCACCTCATTCACCCCCCTGCAAAAAAAAAAAAAAAAAAAAAAAACCACTAATAATGGAATTACAAAGCCATTGGGTCAAAAGGATGAAGAGATAAGAAGATAACCACTGGGGAGGAAAGACTTCCAAACATTTTTATAGATGGGCAGGTAGGTAGAGGAGCAGTCTCCACACAGAGCTAAGTCACACCCCACATGCATACAAGAGAAGTGTGTGATGAGAAGTGAACCAAGGTGCTCCACAGAATCTCCAAAAAGTTGATGCTTAAAGGCACCAGGTACCACAGAAAGCAGGGGTGAGACTCAGGGCTAAGCAATAGGAGGCCACCCCCTCCTCTCTTTTTGCATGGAAGAGGCCAGAAATGTATTATCTGGAGAAGTTGACCTGGAGATGCTCTGAGTCAGGTCTGGAACTCAAGACACTAGTCACAGCACAGCATGACAGTGAGGCAGGAGTTTGAAAAATGGGAGAGTAATTTTAAAATATATATAAACTATGGACTCTCAGATTCTTTGGCTGTTCCCAGAACACTAGCAGCTGGGTGTCACTGCCTTTCCAGGCAGGTAATTGGAAGATTCTCCTCTAGATAGATTGAGCTTCTTCACCCACATCCTCCACTCTTAGAAAAGATCTCCACAAAACTTTACTTGAAGATTCTCAGTAAAACAGCCTTCTAACCATCTGGTCACCCTACTATGATGCTCACTAACTTACAAGACTTCCTCACTCTTAAATATGAAGGATCACCGGATATTTGAAATGAAAGAGACAGGTCAAAAGAAACAGAAAGGCCGAGCGCGGTGGCTCACACCTGTAATCCTAGCACTTTGGGAGGCCGAGGCAGGCAGATCACCTGAGGTCAGGAGTTCGAGACCAGCCTGGCCAACATGGTGAAACCCCATCTCTACTTAAAATACAAAAATTAGCCAGCCGTGGTGGCAGGCGCCTGTAATCCCAGCTACTCGGGAGGCTGAGGCAGGAGAATCGCTTGAACCCGGGAGGCGGAGGTTGCAGTGAGCCGAGATTGCGCCATTGCACTCCAGCCTGGGGAGCAAGAGTGAGCCTTCGTCTCAAAAAAAAAAAAAAAAACCAGAAAAAAAAAAGGCTCAGAAGAATCAGACACCAAGAATATACAGTAAGTAGAAAAACCTTTAAAAAACAAAAAGGAAGCTATAAATTAGTAATCTTGGAAAAATACAACATAAAAGGAACAGTCAGAGAAGAAAGCTCTTTGAAGCTTAAAATATAACTAAAGCAAAAAAATTTAATAGAAGCTGCCCAGTACAGGGAGTTTAAAAAAAAAAAAGGTTCACACCAGAGCACATCAGTATCAAATTTTAGAACCAAATGATCAAGAGAACATCCAGAAAGTCCTAGAAAGAGAAACACACCTAATAGACAAAGGAATGAAAGCAGGAAGGGATCTAACTTCTCATCAGAAGCACTAAACAGAACACAGTGGAGAAATGCCTTCAAAATTCTGAAGGAAAACGATTTTCAACTCAGATTAAACCCAGATAATAAAATTCAACCCAGAATTTTATATCCAGCCAAATGATCAATCAAATGTGAAGGGAAAATAAAACCATTTCTGGAATCCAGGACTCAAAAACTCAAAATCATGAAAGAGGAAGGCAAGGCATCCAGGAACATGGGTGGCAAAAGATAAGTAAAATCTCAGGGCAAGGAGAGAGTAGCCAGCTCAGCCTGAAACAGTAGGACAGAGAACTGGGGAGGGAAGTCTCGCCAAGTGACGATGGGAAGAACTGGTAAATTATATGGCATGTATAAGTAGTGGGACATTTTATTGCATACCTTTGATAGACCCAATAAAGGAATTGGGGGAAATTGCAATCCTTTATAAAGGGGAATCCTTTCCCCTTTATTAAGAAATGGGAAAGGGAGTGATGGTGTCTTACTTATTCCAGAAAAAAAATTGAGAAATGGCACTTAGCTGAACATTTTGAAATCTAAAGTAGGGCCAGGCACGGTGGCCCACACCTGTAATCCCAGCATTTTGGGAGGCCGAGGCAGATGGATCACCAGAGGTCAGGAGTTCAAGACCAGCCTGGCCAACATGGTGAAACCCCATCTCTACTAAAAATACGAAAATTAGCTGGGCATGGTGGCAGGTGCCTGTAATCCCAGGTACTCGGGAGGCTGAGGCAGGAGAATCGCTTGAACCTGGGAGGCAGAGGTTGCAGCGAGCCAAGATCATGCCACTGCACTCCAATTTGGGCGACAGAGCGAGACTCCATCAAAAAAAAAAAAAAAAAAAAGAAAAGAAAGAAATCTAAAGTAAAGACAGAAAAAGACATCTGCCTAGTGGAAAGTGGCTGCTTCAGAGTAGCAGGGCAGAGGAGGGAAAGAGTCAAGGCTGTCAGCTGCTGTTTTTTTTTCCCTCTGCCTTTTAGCCCTATTTGATTTTTAACTATGGGTATGGGTCACCTTAATAAAATATAACATTAATTTTTATGCAAAAATAAAGGGCATGGGCCTGAGAGTCATTGCCTGGATTCAAGTCCCACTCTGCAACCCTTATTGGTGGCAGAGCCTGGGTCAAGCCACTGGTCTTGCTGAGCCTCAGTTTCCTTATCTGCCTTGTAAAATGGAGGTGAAGATGAAATATAAGTGAAATATAAGGTGTAGATGAAATATAATGAACACGATGACTGTTAAGGGCCTGGCACAGGATATGTGTTTAGTAAATTATAGTCATTGTGATTTTTAACATTTTTGAGAAATTCCAGGGTATAAAATGAAAGCAAAATTTCACTGTCCAGCATTTGGGAGGAGCCGAGAAAGGCTGGTTGAATGTCGCCCTTGCATTTGTCAGTAGGTTCTCTGGCTGTTAAGCAGCACATGTTCTGCAGGCTCCCACCCAGACCCTCCATACCAGTCAACGGTGATGTCATAGTCAGCTTTCAGAGTGGATTATGAGGAGCTGGGATTCGGCAGAGAGTGGCTTTTCACATAAAGGCCCAATTCATGCCCAGGGACATGCTGGAGGGTTTTCCTTCTGACACAATCATCCCATACAATAAGCCACCTCCAGGGGATGGATCAAAAGCAGCTCCAAGATGGGCATTTCGTGCAAAGCTGGAGGAAGGCAGCCCCGGGCTCAGCTGGGGGCTGGGGAGCACAGTGGAGTCAGGCGGAAAGGTCCTGCCCTTGACCTTCCAAGGTCCTGGGCTCAGAGAAGCCAACAGTGGTCTTATGCCCCACCCAAGGGACAGGCCTCTATGGAAGGCCTAAGGCTGAGAGTGCTGACCCCTTGACCTTAATATATGTACATGTATATTTAAACAAATGTATTGAATGGGGAAATGTCTAGAAAGAGATATACTTTAAAATGTTACCCATAGTTCTTTCTGGATGGTGGTATTGGGGCTGATTTTAATTTCTTTTTATTTATCTGTATGTTTCAATTTTTGTACCAGGATTATACATTCCGTTTGAAGTTTTGATTAATAATAGCAATAATAAAGTAGGAGGTGCTGAATCCTGAGAGTGGGGAAGGTAGGAGGGAAAGTTCCAGGGCCCCTAAAAGGAACAAATGACAGTCAGCCTGAGAGATTCCTTAACAGCAGGGAACATGTCACTCCTCTTCCAGACAGAATTCTTAGAATTCAGAGAGGCTGAGGGTTGGGGTGTGCAGCAAGGCAGAATAATAGAAAACAGCTAATGCTTCAATAACAATGCATGCAATGTGCTGTTCTATTCTTTAACTCCTTTAATCCTCCCAATGACCTCATGAGATAGGGTCAATTATTCTCCCTACTTGACAGATGAGAAACTGGGGTCCAGAGAAGATAAGCACTTGACCAAGGTCCCTGCTGGAACTAGAACCCAAGCATCCCACTGTAGGCTCTGGGCTGGTAACTGCTACGCTTTAATGGCAGCAGCACGATTATAATCAGAGAGAGTGAGAGAAATGCTTAAATCACAGGGGTTATCACTCTTTTCTGAAAGAAAAGCTACTTTTTATTTTCTGGAGGTCTTTACTAGTACCCCTCTTTCTGTTTTACTGCCTAGGCCCCCAGAGAGGAGAGCAAGGTCGCAGCCATGGACTTAGAAATCAACCACTGCAATATAAAGGAATGAATTAATGGTATTTGCAGCAACCTAGATGAGATTGCAGACTATTATTCTCAGGGAAGTAACTCAGAAATGGAAAAACCAAACATCTTATGTTCTTAATCTAAGTGGGAGTTAAGCTATGAGGATGCAAAGGTATAAGAATGACACAATGGATTTTGGGGACTCAGGGGAAAGGTTGGGAAGGGGATGAGGGATAAAAGAATACAAACTGGGGGCTGGCCATGGTGGCTCACACCTATAATCCCAGCACTTTGGGAGGCTGAGGCAGGCGGATGACCTGAGGAGTTCAAGACAGCCTGGCCAACATGGTGAATCCCCGTCTCTACTAAAAATACAAAAAATAGCTGGGCATGGTGGCGCGTGCCTGTAATCTCAGATACTTGGGAAGCTGAGGCAGGAGAATCACTTGAACTTGAGAAGTGGAGGTTGCAGTGAGCTGAGATCGTGCCACTGCACTCCAGCCTGGGAGACAGAGTGGGACTCCATCTAAAAAAAAAAAACAAAAAAAACCTACAAAACTGGGTGCGTGTATACTGCTCGGGTGATGGGTGCACCAAAATCTCACAAATCACCACCAAAGAACTGATTCATGTAACCGAACACCACCTGTTGCCCAGTAACCTATGGAAATAATTTTTTTTTAATTTTACATATGAACACTTGAAAAAAAAAGAGAGAGAGAGAGAGATCAATCACTGCAACCTGGAATTTACGTTCCACTGATACCTTCCAAGCACACCCCACTGGACAATTTTTAAATGCATTCACAATCACTGTCTATTTAATCCTTACACATACCCTGTCGGGTCGACCTTGACACTTGGTTGGCCCCTTATCACCCTTCTTGTGCTTGTTTCATGTTTCTCTTCCACATCAGACTGTAAGTTCCCTGAGGGCAGGGACCCGGTGCCCTTTGTTTGCCTTGTATCACAGGTGTCTGGGACTTTGTCCTGTGCTACCCTGATTGTAACACTGGCCCCATTTTGCCAGCAAGGAAACTCAGGCTCAGAGACATTAAGGATCTTGCTCAAGATCCCACCGTGAATAGCAATGGAGCTGGGCTTCCAGGCTGGAGTCTGACCCTATGAACCATGGCTCACACACCCTTCTAGATAGTGCTGTTTCAAAGCACATGTATCACAAGAGAGATACACCTGTGGCCACCTGGGAGCTGCAGTAATGGCCAAACCTTCCCAGTGGGCAGCAACTGGGGTAGGGAAGGGGCAGCCAGTCCATGAAAGGGCTGAGCACAAAGTGAGGCCAAGAAGCATCACTGACAGGAGGTAGCATGGACTCTGGGCTAGACGTCCAAATTCTGGCCCTATTTAGGAAACATGTGACCCTGAGCATCTGCCTCTTCACGGATAGGTCAACTTCACTGATTAAAAGTAAGAGACAGCTAAACCCTCATGTGGCCATTCATACAAGTGAGTTATTCTGAGCTTCAGTTTCTCATTTGTAAAATGGGAAAAATCCCTCTTGGGGTTGTCATGAGGATTAAATGAATTAATACTTACAGAGTACTTGGTACAGTAACTGGCCCACAATAGTAGGAGGTTGGGAGGAGTAACAAACACCACCAAACAGGTAAATATCCACAGGATGGAGTGTGCATGCACACAGACCAGCCACCTCAACATTCCCAGTTATGAAGAGTGAGAACATGTATGGAAATTCCCAGTGATGGACCCATTAGCCAAATGTTCTGTATCAGCCTTTACTGCATAAAAATCCACCCCAAAATTTAACGGCTTAGAACACTCATTCTTTTATTACTCATAATTCTTAGGGTGGCATCAGCTGGGCAGTTTCTGTTTGTCTCACCTGGGTTCACTCACAGGGCTGCAGTCAGCTGGGAGGTCAGCTGTGGGTTGGTTGCTCATGGGCAGGTTTTTCAACCTCAGCACTGCTGACATTTGGGACCGGGTAACTCTTTGTTATGGGGGGACTGTCCCGCACATTATAAGATGTGTAGCAGCATCTCTGACCTCTGCCCACTAGATGCCAGTAGGACAGCCAAAAATATCTCCAGTCATTACCAGATCTTCCCTGGAGGACCAAGTTGTCCTTTGGTTGAGAATAACTGGGAACTAGTGGAACTCAGCAGGCCTGACTTGTCTTTGCTCCCCCTGGTCTCACCTTCCAGTAGACTAGCCCAGACTTCTTCCTGTGATAGCAGAAGGGGTCCCAGCAGCAAGAGGGAGCAAGCCCCGATGCACCAGTGCCTGTCAAACCTCTGCTTGTATCACATGTGCTGATGTTCCATTGGCCAAAACAAATCTCATGGTCAAGCCCAGAGCCAGTGTGGGCAGGGACTACACAATGATGTGGAAACAAGGAGGCGTCTTGATTGGGAGCCATTGCTATAACCGTCTTCCACAGTCATTTTTTCACCATGACAAGGATCCGTGTTGCCAGTCCTCACATGGTACCAGGGAAGGCACCACATAACCTCAGGCTCCCTATCTCTCTGTGAGCTCATCTGCATAATAAAGGAGGGGCTTATTCTGAGTGGTCCCTGGGCTCTGAGACATAGCTGATCTCACACAGCCAGTGGGTGTCACCCCAGGGGAGTGCTGGTCCTAGCACAACCCAAGCTGGTGTCACCTGCCCCACTGCCCCTTCCAAACAGCCTTCCCAGACTGCAAAACCTGGGATTTAAACATGGGAGCAGTCTAAAATACCTTATAGTCCTATACTGTCTTGTAGTTCTCAAAAAGCTTCCCCATACTCTCTGAGGTAACATCCATATTCTCTGAGGTGACACAATGCTTAAACCCCCAAACTACAGTGGCTTACTACAATTAAAAAAAAATTTTTTTTTGATACGGAGTCTTGCTCTGTTGCTCAGTTTGGAGTGCAGTGGCACAGTCTCAGCTCACTGCAACCTCCACCTCCTGGGTTCAAACAATTGTCCTGCCTCAGCCTCCCAAGTCACTGGGACTACAGGCTCCTGCCACCATGCCCAGCTAATTTTTGTATTTTTAGTAGAGGCAGGGTTTCACCATGTTGGCCAGGCTGGTCTTGAACTCCTGACCTCAAATGATCCACCCACTTTGGCCTCCCAAAGTGCTGGGATTACAGGCGTGAGCCACCGCGCCTGGCCCACAGTAAAATCTGATGTAGTTCACTGCATGGCGTAGCTGACCCTGGTTATGGGGAGAAAACACTGTCATTCAGGAGCCCAGCCTGAGAAGACACTCCCCTTTTCCATACTCTGAGCAATGACATCCTATGGCCAGACAGGAGGAAAAGGCCGAGAACCACACGGGAAGCTACTGTGAGTGGGACAGGCCCGGGAGTGGCCACCTCCCTCTCCCCACATTCCATAGGCCAGACCTCAGTGGACATGGGGCAGGAGGCTGGAAGTAAGAAAAAGAAACTCAGGGTTCCTCAGAGAAGTTTCTGCCATGAATACACATTTCCTCAGTGTGTCCCCACAAGATCTCTAGAAGGAGGGCATGTTCCTACATGTGCCCGGCTGTGGTCTCAGTGTGTGAAGAGAGTAGAGACTGAATCTAAAAGCCAAGATAGAGCTTCTTTATGTGTCATTCTACCTGATTAACACACACACACACACACACACACACACACACACACACACACACACAGATGCATATGTATGTATGTATGTATCTAGACCCTGTAGGATTTCTTTAATTTCTGTGACCTGGTTTCTGGCATGCTCACCTCATCAGTTTCTTCTGTGCTCTGGGCTGAGGCCTGGGCTGACTCCATGGAGTGTGGTATGGCTGGGAAAGGGGGCTGGGAGGAGCCATTTCTCTTGGTAGCACTCCTGCTGTCCCCTGCTCAGGCTTAGGATACCAGCGCTATCATTGCCCCTCCTTCTTCTCCTCACCCTTGAAATCTGGGTGATTTCATCTCCTCAATACTCCTGCCTCAGCCATCTCCTCCATTTCCACTGCCACTATTCCAGACCACACCACCATTACCAACTCCAATCCACCTTCCTCCCAGGCTTTGGAGTTAAGTCTCAGCCCTGCTGCTTGTTATTTTCATTGTGAGCCTAGCAATAGAGAAAGGCCTTTAGAATGTCCTAACAAGGAGAGGAAGCAAGTCTGAGTGCTGCAGGGAGGTGGGTTGGGGCAGGCGTGGAGGAGACACTTCCCAGAGGAGGTCAAGGGAGCCAGGCCTTGAAAAGTGCTTGGAATCTCAGCAGGTGTGGTGGTGGGGAGGCAGTTGGGGAAGGCAGGAGATGTGATGCCACATTGTGGTTCGGG
The DNA here is from genome assembly GCF_000001405.40 of Homo sapiens. Classification (NCBI taxonomy): domain Eukaryota; kingdom Metazoa; phylum Chordata; class Mammalia; order Primates; family Hominidae; genus Homo; species Homo sapiens. Next base: position 212,502,183 of record NC_000001.11, on the reverse strand, counting down.
GGGGTCAACTGGTATATTGCTGAAGGGCAGGATTTCCACTGGCCCATCTCTGCCTTCCCAGATGAGTTCCTGTCTGTCCTGCACCATGCTGAGTGTCACAGGGCCACCGAGCATCAGGGGCACCATGCCAGTGCTCTGCCCTGTGGTATCCCCACCTCCCCACCATCTCCCTGGGTCATGCCCATGGTGTATACTTCAAGAGTTTCTACTAAATAGCTGCAGGCAGCCCACAAAAGGACTCCTGGGCCTGGTTCAACTCTGTCAGAGGCCTTCTCCTCTCTGGGCCTTGGTTTTCCCAACTGTCAAGTGAGTTGACTTCTAAGGCATAAGGGAGCCCTATGCCAGGAGGGTGAAGCCCACACTACAGAATCAAGATATCTGGGTACAAATCTCCAGCTTTCTGAGTGACTTTGGGCAAGTAAAGTAATATCTCTAAGCCTCAATTTTCTTGTTTGCAAAAGACACTAATACTCTAAAACCCAATCAGAACACCTTAAGTAGGAGCCAAAGAATTCAATTGCACCAAACTTGGAGTCTCCTTATGGTGAAGATAAAGAAGAGATGCAGAGCATGGAGCCAGTTCTGTTGTATCTGAATTCAATCATTATGAGTTTTTTAGTTGGATTCTTGTGGATAAAATGTGTTATATGTCAAATCCTTGACACAGTGTCTTAGTCTGTTTTCTGCTGCTATAACAAAATACCACAGACTAGGTATTTTGTAAAGAAAAGAAATTTATGACTTTTGGTTCTGGAGACTGGGAAGTCCAAGAGAATGGCACTGCCATCTGGCAAGGGTCTTCCTCTTGTGTCATCCCATGGCAAATAGACAGAAGAGCAAGAGAACACGTGTGTAGAAGAGAGAGAAAGAGAGAGAGAAAGGGAGAGAGAGCATGCTTTTATAACAAAGCCACTCCTGAGATAACTAAATCATTCCCATAATAAGGGCATTAACTCATGTATGATGATGGAGCCCCCATGACCTAATCAGTTCTTAAAGGCCCCACCTCTAAATACTATTGCAATGGTAATTAAGTTTCAACATGAGTTTTGGCAGGGACATTCAAACCATAGCATGCAGTAAGTATGCAATGAAAGTGACTAATTAGTGGTAGTAAGACAAGCTGGGAAGCCCTAGCTGAGCTGAAGTGTGGGCACACTGAGAAACAATTCAAGGTTCCATTTGGAATCAGGTCAGGCTCAGACCCTGGCAGGGCCAAGCTGGCACTCTCAGTCCCAGAAGCCTGCAGGCCTGACACTCCAGCTGTTTCCAGTTGCTCTGTCCATTATTAGATCCTAGAGGTCCTAAGGAAAACCCTGACTTGGGCATTATCTCTGGGCAGGCAAAGAAGAAAGGTTTTTCAAATTCTCAAGGTGCTAGGGAGAAGTGAATAGAGATATCAGTTAGAGACCACTCTGCTCCTTTTTGTTAAAAACGCTCAGAACTATATTCATGGTTAATAACCCAAGCAGTTATTCCTCTTTTGGTTTCTGTCACAAGAGAAAACCTAAGCTTCTCTTTGTCCAGGGGGAAAGCAGTGTCAGGACGAAGCCGGCTCCTGCCTCTCCAGGCCTAGTGAAGCACATCCCTCGTCCTGCCAGCCTGGGGCCCTCTCCCCTCCACAGGAGGAGCAGGGCTGCCAGCCTCCTACTCCCCGCACTTCTCATTGTGACCAGCTGTGGATGCCAGCATACCAAGGGACACCTTAAGTTAGGAGCCTGCGTCCCAGGAGCATCCCAGAGAAAAACTAGGAGGGGACCCTAAAGGCCCCCTTTGTTATAGACAAACTGAAGCCCATGCTTCCCTGGCTGATTCTTCTCTCCCTCTTTGCTGGTTTCTTCTCACCTCCTCACCTCCTCTCTGAATGTGGATGTGCCCCAGAGTTAGTGCTTGGACACACCCACACGGCCCATCTCAGCGATCTCACCCAGGACTGTGGCTTTATGTAACATGTATAGGTACATGCAGATGACTTTCAAATGTGTATGTCCAGCACAGACCCTCTCCAGAACTCCAGACTCATTCATCCAACTGCCCACTCATGGCCTCCACGGGGAGGTCTAAGAGGTATCTCCCACCTCACAGGTCCAAAACAGAGTTCCTGGTCTTTCCTCCTCCCACAATCTTCTCTACTTGAATTCATGGCATTTCCATCATTGCTCAGGCCAAAAGCCTTAGAGTGACACCTGGCCTCTGTTACTCTCATCCCCACACCCAATCTATCAGCAAAACCTTCAGGCTGCATACAGATTCTGACCACTTCTCCCCATCTCCCCCACCACCCCTGCCTAGTCTGCAATACTCTCCTTACAGGTCTCTCGGCCTCCACATTTGTGCTTCTGCAGTCGGCTGTGAACTAACTCAGCAGCCAGACCACCCTGGGAAGGCAAAAGTCAGCAGAGGTCCCTCCTTAGCTCAAAGCCCTCCAATGGTGTCCCCTTCCATTTGGAGTAAGAGCCAATGTCATCACAACAGCCCATGTTCCCTCTCGCTTTCAGCATCTAGCACTGTCTCCCTGCTCACTCTGCTCCAGCCACAGTGGCCTCAAATTCACTAGGCAACGCTCCTCCCTTGGGGCCCTTGGCATTGGTGTCTTCTCTGTTTGGGACCCTTCCTCCCGGTGTCTGTGTGGTTATCTCCCTGCACTACTGGGCATTTCACGTCTTTAGTCAAATACCACGTTTTGGCCAGGTGCAGTGGCTCACACCTGTAATCCCAGCACTTTGGGAGGCTAAGGTGGACAAATCACTTGAGATCAGAAGTTCGAGACCAACCTGGCCAACACAGCAAAAACCCCGTCTCTACTAAAAATACAAAATTTAGCCAGGTGTGATGGCGTGTGCCTGTAGTCCCAGCTACTTGGGAGGCTGAGGCAGGGAAATCACTCGGACCCGGGAGGCACAGGTTTCAGTGAGCTGAGATCACACCACTGCACTCCAGCCTGGGAGACAGAGCAACACTCCGTCTCAAAAAAAAAAAAAAAAAAAAAAAAAAAAAAAAAACCACACCTTTTGGTGGGGTCTTCTCTAACCTCCTTAATTAAAACTACACCCTTCTTCTATACCCTCCTTTTGATTTTTCTCCATGACATTTATCACAATCAAACATACTAAATGCTTACTATATTTTGTTTATTATTTGTCTCTTCTGACTTGAATGTAAGTTATAAGTTATCTGAGAGTAGAGATTATTGTCTCACACATAGCAAGTGCTCAGTAAATATTTGTCAAGTGAATGAATGAACAGAAATCAATGGCTCTGGTGTATCTGTATTGACTTTTCCCGTGAGTACAATTGCACTTAGCACATCAAGCTGGGTGCCAATGAATAGAAGGACAAAAGAAACACCTTACACCATCATGTTCAGTTGTTCCTTCGGTTGAGGGATGCTGAGGCCCAGCAAGAGGGAGGATATCCCAAAGCATCACAGCACGTTGCCTTTAGAGCTGGGACTGAGACCTAATCCCCAAGTTTCCCAGACAGGGCCTGTCCTCTGGTCCCCCTCCCGCCCACGACCACAGAAAGGTCACTGCTTTCTGGCAACAATTTTCAGTCTCCTGAGCTATAAATTTAGAATAAGGAACCTACAGAAAATAAGTAAATTAGGTATGAGGAGGCGGTATTTTTAGCTTTGCTGGTTTCCAAGTGCATGCATCTATACAAAGCTCGGTAAGTATGGCTATATATAGGCATACTTATCAGAAAGCCAGTTGAGTGAGTGGTGGGTCAGCTTTTCTGGGGGTGGCTGAGTGAGCCTGTTGCAACACAGATGGTTTTGAGCCAGAGTGGCTAATTCCAAGGAACTGGCGCTGCTTGAGTCATCTGGAAGCTCCACACCTCGCTTCAGGAGTTCAGAAAGAGTGGGAGGAGTTAGATCCTCTTTTTCCTTCTCAATCAGCCAGAAGCACCAATGAAACCCCAAGGTCCACCCAGCTAGTAACTGAAAAAAGCTTTTATGGTCAAAATCTCCCTAGTGCTCAATTGTTCTCTCCTTGGGGGCAGATGGGGATTCTGAAGCGGGGGCCTGAGCAGAAACCTGGAGCTTCTGCATCCCTGATGGACCCGACAAGCCTCTCTGGGCTTTGGTTCTTTTGGCTACCAGGACATTTCTCAGATTTCAGACCAAGCCTGGGTGAGCATGGAGCACTACCTTCAGCCAGGCACTCTGTCCGCATATGTAAACTCGTTTTGTACAACTCGACTACGGAGATACTTTTATTACTTTTATTATTGTCCCCATTTTACAGTTGGAGAAAGCAAAGCAAGGAGTAGATAAGTAACATGCCCACATCTCACAGCACAAGCGCAGACCCAAGCAGTCTAGCTCCACAGCGGCTGCCTGGAACTATCAGCTTATGCTAATAGTTCCCCCTGACTGCAGGGCACGCAACCTGAGTCAAAGTCCAAACTATATGCAGCCTTCATTCCTTCAGCAAGTATTTACTGAGCATTTACTATATGTAGGGCATTTCTGAAGCTCTGAAGTTCATGGCTGGATCCAGGGTTGGATGCTGCAAACCTTTGGCTGGACACTGAGCTAAGTAATGCATGTGGAACAATCCCATTGGCTGCTTGTGGAAACTGAGTGAGGGCAGGGCTAGTTCCTCTCATTTGGGGCAGCCTGAGAGAGGTATCCTGACCCATGCAGTAGAAATAGAGGCTAGATCCCCCTGTGCAGAGCAAAAGCACCAAGCACTGAGGTTGGAGGAGACTTCTGTCCTCATGTAGCTTATGTTGGATATAGTGTGGGGACACAGGAAATGAACACAAACAAGTAAACAATATACTTCAAAATGGTTATAAAGGCTGTAAATTAAATGTAACATGGAAATGAGACTGTTATGGGTTGAACTATGTTTCCACAAAAAAACTAGGGGTTCTGCATGAATCCCTAGTACACTTATTTGGAGATAGGTTTTGTTGTTGTTGTTGTTGTTGTTGTTGTTGTTGAGACAAAGTCTCGCTCTGTCGCCCAGGCTGGAGTGCAGTGGCATGAAAAGATAGGGTTTTTACAGAGGTAATCTAATTAAAATGAAGTCAGTAGGGTGGGCCCTAATCCAATATGACTGGTGTCCTTATAAAACAGAAATTTGGAGACAGACATGTACACAAGAAGAATGCATGTGAAGATAAAGGTGGAGACTGAAGCGATGTTTCTACAAGCCAAGGAACACCAGAGATCGCCAGCAAACCATCAGGAGCCAGGAGAGAGGGCTGGGGCAGATTCTCCCCCACAGCTCCCAGAGGGAACCAACCCTGACCTTGGACTTGTAGTCTCCAGAATTGTGACACAGTTCAGTTCTGTTGCTTTTAAGTAACTCAGTTAGTGGCACTTTGTTACAGCAGCCACTGCAAACTAATATAGGGACAAAGAGTGTTAGGGGAAGAGCAGGATTTTGGCTACCAGATCGGGTAAGGTCTATCTGAGGAGGTGACACTGGGGCTGAGACCTGAATATTGGGAAGGAGATGGTTGTGGGAAAAGCCGGGGAAAATCCACATCCTAGAGATGGAAACAAACCTGCCATATCTGCAGCAAAGCTGAAAGGTGTGTGTCTGGAGCCAGGTGAGGGAGGGTGGACAGGTTCAAGCTGAGGGCAGAAGGAAGGCAGGGCCCCAGAGCAGGTAGGGACTTTCATAGTACATGCTGGGAAACCAATGCGGGGAATGGTTTTAGGCAAAGAGTGATGTGAGACCCTACTTTCCCCTTGAAAAGATCCCTCTGGCTGCCCCAAGTGGACTTGAAGGTGAGGCAGGGGAAAGTCGGCTAGGAAGGTGAGGCTCAGGTTCAGCTGCAAAGTGATGGAGGCTCAGATGAGGGGTCTGGCGGAGGAGCAGGGAAGTGATCTGGTTGGTGATAAACTCTGGAGGCAGAACTCCAACAGGACTTGCTGGTGGACCCACCGTGGGATGAGACAAAAAGAGAGTCAACTGTGACCCTTACGATTTTGTCTGAGCAACAGAGTGGACAGCGCTGCTTTTTACTGTGGGATAATGAAGGGGTAGAGTGGAGAGTTGTTCTGAAGAGGGACAGCCAGCCTCCATCCAAACGTGACTTCTAAAATGAGGCCAAACTGAAGATTGAAGAAACAGAGTCCCTGTCCTGGAACTCAAAGCCTGAGGGACACAGATGTGTAAACAATAGCAATGCAACGTGTGAAGTAGCTGGTGACACAGCTGTGGGAGTGATTCTGGGGAAGTTGGACAGAAGAGGTTTTTGTTTTGTTTTGTCAAAAACCATTTCTAAGTTACATAAGTGCTGCAAAAATAGTACAAAAAATTCCCGATACCCTTCACCCACTTTCCCCAAATGTTAACATCTTACATGTTTACAGTGCATCATCAAAACCAGGAAATTGACATAACTACAAACCTGATTCAAATTTTGTCAATTGCCCCACAAATGTCCTTATCTGACCAGGAGCCGATCCAGGATCACATAGAGCATTTGTTGCCAAGCTTCCTTGTTTCCTCTAGTCTGGGATAGTTCCTCAGCTTACACTTACACTTTCATGACCTTCAAACATTTGAAGAATACTAGACACTTATTTTGTAGGATGTCCTTCAATTTGGGTTTAGCTGGTATTTCCTCAGGTTGTGAATTATTTATTTATTATTTATGTTTTTCTTTACTTATTTATTTACTTATTTATTTTGAGACAGGGTCTCACTCTGTCACCCCGGCTGCAGTGCAGTGGCACGATCTTGGCTCACTGCAACGTCCGCCTCCCAGGTTCAGGTGATCCTCCCACTTCAGCCTCCTGAGCAGCTGGGACTACAGGCACACTCCACAGCACGCTACGGCTAATTTTTAAATTATTTATAGAGACAAGGTCTCCCTATGTTGCCCAGGCTGATCTCAAACTTCTGGACTCAAACGATCCTCCTGCCTCAGCCTCCCAAAGTGCTGATATTACAGGCATGAGCCACCACGCTCAGCCAAATTTTTTAAGAGCACCACATAAGTTTATGTTGTGCCTTTCTTGGTACATTATATCAGATGGTACATGAGGTTGATATGTTCTATTATTTATTATGTTAACTCTGATCACCTGGTTAAGGTGGAGTCTGCCACATTTTTCCTACTATAAAGTGACTACTTTTCTCTTTGCAATTACTAACCATCTTATGGGAAGGCGCTTTGAGATAATGTAAGCATCTTGTTTCTCTACATTTTCGCTCATGAGTGTTTGTTTCCATTGATGATTCTTGCTTAACACAACTATAATGGTAAGTGTTTGCCAAGTGTTTTCTATTTCCATCATGCCTTCTAATTCCTACTAATTATAATGCTGCTTTAAGGAAGAACTCTCCCTTCTTGCCTGTTTATTTGCTTATTCGAATATTTACCTCTATTGGTATAGACTCATTACTTCTTGTTTTATCCTTAAATGCTGTAAGTTATAATCTATTGTGATCATTATTTATTTTGTGGCTCCAACTATCTCATTTTCGGCCATCAGCAGCCCCTTCAAGTTAGCTCGTGGGTTCAAGAGGAAAGTTTTGAGCAGGGTCATGAACAAGGCATGGGGGCTTGATAGAGAAGAGGGAGAGGAAAGGCTTCCAGGCCTGAGGGAGCCTTGAGGACATAGCTAGCACCCTCTGAGGATGTTGGCTGTCCTCTGAGCTGGCTGGTCCTCACTATGAGGGCCAGGAGGATGCAGCCACACACCTTGCTCAGATGGACAGACCTCCACAGAACGCCATGTCCGTGTGGGCTTCGCCGCCAGCAGGACTTCCTCAAGGATCTTCTGGAGCTGCAGCCATGAATTCCCAGCACTCAGGGTGTTAGTGCATCCACCTGGGTTTGCTCATGAGAAGCCCTCCACCATGTCCATGAACCCCTCCCGCCACCTCCTGCCTGCCATTGCTTTGCCAGACTGGATATCATCCAGGGCTGTGGTGTCCCCACTGCTCTGCCTGTGTCTGAAGGGTGTTTCCTGGACTTCTCTGCCTGAAGAACTTGTACCAGGGGAGGCTCTCAGAGCTATGGAGTGGCAGAACCATGTGTCCTACAGATTATTTAGCACACCGGCTATTGTTTTGACTTGTATGTTGTCATTTTCTCAATCCAGGGCCTCTGTGAAGTCTTGAGTGGATGCCCAATAGGCTAAACAGAAGGGAGTGGGTGGAAGGGGTAGAGGAATGGCAGTTGCAGGACCATCATTCTGGTCAAGGCCCCAGTTGGCAGGGATAGAGCTGGGCCCTGAAGGGAAAATGGCCAATCTAAGGTCACAGGGACAGTTGGTGGCTAAGCAGAACTAAAATCCAGTGTCCATGTCCTTCTCACCATTCCACATTCCCAATCCACTCTGCTTCTTGTTTATCAGCTACTGATGAGGCCACAGTCCGGGTGTACGTGTCCATTTCTCTTGTTTCCCCTGCAGGCAGAGAGATGGAGGCCAATCTTCTGGCCCCTTTCTGGGCCAGGGCCTCTAGGCACATGGGCAGCACTGACCACTTGCCCACAGGGAAGGGGAATGTCCTGGGTCACGTAGCAAGCACAAGGCTGAGGGCAAGTCTGGGATCACCTTGCAGCCTCTCCACTGTAGGCCCATGACCTCACCCAGACCAGCACTAAGTTAGCCACCCCTTCTTCCATCTCTTCTTCCTCTTCCTTCAGTCCCAGAGGGGAAATGGGGCCCTTTTTCTTTTTTTCTTTTTAAATTTCAAATTAAGGGCTGGATGCTGTGGCTCACAGCTATAATCCCAGGAATTTGGGAGACTGAGGCAGAAGGATCGCTTGAGGCCAGGAGTTTGAGAGCAGCCTGGGCAACATAGCAAGAACCCATCTCTATTTTTTTAATTAAAAAAATTAAAAATAAATAAATAGATTTCAAAGTAAGCTTACAGTAGGTTAAACATTCACGATTCAAAATTCAAAACATACAAAAGTTATGCTGTAAGAAGTCTCCTTTTTGACCCTATCCTGTGGACACTCACTTTCCAGCTGTGGTTAGTTTCTCCTGCAGCTTTCCAGAGATGTCTGCATAAGGCCTTACAAATGGTTTCTGTAAAGAGCCAGGTAGAAAATACGTTCAGCTTTGAGAGCCATAGGCCTCCTCTCACAACTTTTCAATACTGCATGGTAGTACAAAAGCAGCCACAGATGATACCTAAACTAATGAATGTGGCTGTGTTCCTGTGAAATTTTTTTATGGACACTGAAATTTGAATTTCATGTAATTTTCATATATCACAAAATATTATTCTTGGCCAGGTGCAGTGGCTCACGCCTGTAATGCTAGCACTTTGGGAGGCCAAGGCAGGTGGATCACCTGAGGTCAGGAATTCCAGACCAGCCTGGCCAACATGGTGAAACCCCATCTGTACTAAAAATACAAAAATTAGCTGGGTGTGGTGGCACACACCTGTATTCGCAGCTACTTGGGGAGACTGAGACATGAGAATCCCTTGAACCCGGGAGGCAGAGGTTGCAGGGAGCCGATAGCCACTGCAATGTCCAGTCTGGGTGACAGAGTGACACTCCGTCTCAAAAATATATGTATAAATAAATAAATATTATTCTTAATTTTCCCTTAAACATTTAAAAATGTAAAAACCATGCTTAGCTCAAGAACTGTACAAAAATATAATATTTCAATGTATGGATGAACCATAATGTATTTAAACAATGTCCCATTGATGGACATTTAGGCTGGTTCTAGTTTTTTGCTATTGCATCTAATACTGCAGTGAATAAACTCACCCACACATAATGTTATGTGCAGGTAATGTATCTATAGGATAAACTGTGGGACATTTGATCAAATCTGAACAGCCTTCCAGCCTCCTCCATCTCCTTTCTCATCTTGCTCCCTTGGTACCTGCCAGTTAACATCAAATGTACTGAGAGCCTCACAAGTTCTAGCCACCTTGCCAGGTGCTGAACACCAGCCAATAGCCCAGCAGGACTGGTTTCTTCTTTCCTCATGTCACATAATCCCTGGAGTCTGGTGGACCAGAGCTTGCGTTGCAGCTCCTCGCCACACCTCAGTTTCCCAGGCTCCTTCTACCCTTTTGCTCTGCCATACTTAGGATGTGATGTGACTTCCATCTTCAAGGTTGCCATATGGTCGTGACATGGCCACTGTGGCTCCAGACATCATATTCTCATCCCATAGAATAAAAGAGAAAAGAGGGTAAGAGGCAGCAGAGCACACATCCGTGGAGTCAGCCTCCTTTAAAGGGCTTTCTCGGAAGTCATCCCCAGATGCTTCCATTTTCATCTCATTGGCCTTACCTGTGACCCATGAGCCCCTGAATGCCAGGAAGCCTGGGAAGTTTGTTAGCTGGACACATTGCTCCCCAAAGCAACATTGGGATTCTGTTAGTGAAGAAGTGGAGGAAGTAGATACAGGGTAGTTAGTTAGCTGTCTACCACAGTTGGGATAATCTGGAAGACTTCGTGGAAGACATGGGCATCAGTAGAATTCAGACAAGAATTTAGCGCATACCAAGAACTTTATTGCATGCTGGATAGGTGGGGGAGGGGAGGCTCCTTCTGTTAAACTCACATGTGAGGGAACAGTTTCAGTTCCCATTTCGGATATAAGGAAAACAAAACCTAGAGCTCTCCACTCACTCAGGGTCACACGGCAAGTAAATGGCAGAGTCCAGCTTCCAATTCCAAAACCCAGCAGACTTCCTTTTCTCTGCTGGGCTCACCTCCCCATTCCAATCTGTGTATGTAGAGGGGAAGGATAAGGATTCCAAGACAGGGAAGCTCACCTTGTATTTCCAGGACCACTGATGGGCTTTAGGCCTCAGAAGGGAAAGGAAGAGCAGTCTCCAATTGCTCAAAGCAGGAATTTGTGAACACAGAGAGATCTTATTTACTCATGGGATAATTCCCAAAAGGATTTAGTCTTTTTTACGTTTAAAAAATGAAAGTCAAAAATGAAGTGGAAAATGGAAGGAGACATTTTGGTCGTGGGGCGGGGGGAGTTGAGAGCCTTCTGTTGGAGACCCCGGAAGCAGGGCAAGGCAGGGGGTGGGAGGCATACCCCAGGCTGGGAGGCCAGGACTGGTGAACAGGGGGCATCTCTGCTCAGGACCAGCACCCTCTGCCCTCGGGCAGCAGCCAGCAGTGGCTGACACCAGCCAGGAGCCGGGCAGAGGCCAGACAGGTAAGGAGTGTGGCCAGGCTCTTCTGAATCCTGGGGACATCCTCACCTTGGGTGAGGTGCCACACTCCTGCTCTCGGGGTCATCTTCAGCCTCAGCAAGTGGAAAATCGCCTAACCCCACAGGCATGTCACAAAGCCTAGGGCCTTGAGTTTCACCCCAGACTTGGCAGCTCAGGGGGTTAGAGAATGTAAGGGGGACAGCGGGAGGGGTGGGGATCCCTGGGCAGTAGCTGTGGCCAAGCACTCCCCACCACCACCCCCATGAACAACAGGACCCTGGGACTGCAAGCAGAGCGAGTTGGGGTCAGATGCGAACAGATGGGTGATGTACAAAGTAAGTTAACCTCTCTGACTGTCACCTTCTGAATCTAAAAACCTAAATAACTAATCCTACCCTGTGAGGTGACATACACAGACAGCCAGAATCCTAGCAAGTGCTTAGAACAGGTGACACACTAATTTGACTAATGTAGCTATTATCTTTGTTGTTAACATTTTGCTCTCTGGTAGATGATGCCCCATTAACTAAAATCCGGAATATGGAAAGAGGAACAGGTCAGTGGGGGTGCCAGGGGAGCCTGGAGATATCAGCTATTTCAAAGAGAAGCTGGAGCCCATCCTTGACCTCAATCAGTTAATGCATACAATGGTTGAAAATGGAAAACAGAACAAACCATATTCCAGTGCTGTACGGATTCATTAGTAAACAGGGATTTGTTAAGCCCTCCTGATGTGCTCAGCATGACTCTAAGCTCTCTGTCAAATACAAGAGAAGTAGAGAAGTAGAAAAAAAAACCCAGCTAATGCATCCACTTGGAAATTGTGGCAGAGGAATTTTCTGGACAGTATCCACACACACTTTTAAGAGAATTTTGTACATGTTACATATTTTGGATGAAAATACTTTTAAAATATGCTACACGCATCCCTGGCATCTTAGAGGTTATTGAACATATTTGTTACAAACATCATCTATTCTGCTGTCTTGTAATGTGATGATGGCCTTGGAGGTTGTGGCTGTTTGCTGCCCAACTAGGTAGTCCCCAGGTGTTACTTTGTCTTTGCATCTACTTTTATACTTGTTTCCAGGCATTCCCTCACCACTAGGCTTTCATGTGTGAGTTTTCCTTGCTGCTTTTGAGCTGCCCTTCTAGTACTTTCACTTTATTGCTTCTAATTTGCTCCGAGGTTAGAGATCAGATATAAATGATTCATCTATTGATAGCACATCTTGGCCCTAAAAGGAATTAAGGGGACTATAATGATTTCCTAAGTACTTGCTATGTGCCAGGCATTTGACCAGCTGTTTTGCAGCCATTATTTCATTTTTCACAACAGCCCTGTGAGGTAGGCATTTTTATCTCCATTTCAGAGATGTGTAGACTGAGGCTCAGAGAGTTTGAGCAACTTGCCCAAAGTCGCACAGCTGCTAGTGAGTGGCTGGGCTAGAATTCAGTTGCATTGGGAACATCTGTGCTTTTCCCCCTGTGTGGCATTTCTGCTCCGGTGTTATGGTAGATTGCATGCTGTTCTCTATTGCTTGTTATTGCATTGGGCTGTGGCAGTTTTATTTTCCTGAGTAGAACAAAAGCCCCTTGAGGACAGTGACCTGGTTGTCCACTTATGAACTGCCCACATCATTGGGCCCAGTGCCAGGATTCCAGGTGGTCAACAGCTATTTTGCAAAGAGTGGGAGTCTGGAAGAATGAGGGCAAGAGAATGGTGTAGGCTACAGCCTGCTCCCATCGCGATGCCTCTTTACCTTTCTGCTTCCTAAAATTCTCAACTTGCTACCAGGCATTTTCTGAGCAGAATGCTTTGTCTGCAAAAATCCATACCCTTCCCTTGGCTTAAACCAGTAATCATTAAAGCCTCCATGTGGGCCACTCTGGTCTGGGATGAAGGAGTGGCTGGCTCAGGCTGCCTGCCTCTCCCTGGGGGCAGACGTGGAGGCCAAGCCCACACAAGGAGACAGCAGCTCAGTAGGGAAGACTGGTGTTGAGTTCAGGATTTTTGCTAAAGAAATTCTAGAGCTGGTGCCTCTGATAAAACCCTTTCATAGAGAGCTTCTTTCCTGGAAGGAGAGTGGCTGAAATTGCAGTGGAGCTGACTTTCCAGCCAAAGCAAAAAGCAGGCCAGCATCCCAGCAGAGCCAGATTCTGCTAAGTAATGCTTGCTCTCAATCTTTGCTCTGTGGCTACAGCTTTGTGTTCCATCACATGACTTACAGAGTTTATTGTGACATAGTTTCTGTTGTGTCTTGGTTGTCCATCAGAAACACTGAGCTCAGTGGGGAAAGCCCCCATGTGACCAGAGATGTCTGTGAGCCAAGCATTTCTCCGGATGACATCACACCCTTGCTGATTGCCCAGGTGTTTCACGGCCTCTGAGAGCTGACACGGAACTTGCATCATTTCTGATGCTTGGCTCTTTAATTTGTTTGTTTTTGGTAAATAGTAAACCTGGACTAGGGTGGGGAAGTTTCCAAGATAACCAGATTGTAAACATATTCTACAGAGAATTTGGCAGGACTTGGACCTGGAGCCATCTCATTTCTTGTGGGCTGACACCCTGAGGCAGAGGAAATGATGGTGTCCAGCCCCTCTTGTGTCAGTCCTAGAACATACTTAAGATTCTGAACCTCTTTGGATCAGCCACAAAGGCCCACGGCCAGGTCCTGCTACCTCATATGCTTTTGTGTATCTCTTTTCCCCTTTCCTCTCTTCAGGCTGGCTGGTATCGGAAAACCCTGGATTCCCCTCCTTCCCTCTGCTTCTGTCCATTTATTTTCCTGGAATCAAAGCACAGCCTTGCACCCACATACTCACTTTGGGTCCATGAGCAAATCATTTCACAGGCCTGTGGAGGGCCAGGACGGGGGTGCTCTGCAGAGCTCCCACCTCCTCCATGACCTTACAGGAGAGGAGACAAAGGCTGGCAGGGCAACTTCCCCAAGTACCCAGAATGAACTACTTAACCCTGGGCAGGGCTCTGGAATGCTATGCTTCAGCCTACACATTGAACATGAACTTGGGATGGACCATTGATGGTTTCTGAGCAGGAGTGCTGGGACCAGAGCTGTGTGTTAGAAAGTGGATTCTGCCTGGGCACGGTGGCTCACATCTGTAATCCCAGCACTCTGGGAGGCCGAGGTGGGCAGATCACCTGAGGTTGGGAGTTTGAGACCAGCCAGACCAACATAGAGAAACCCCATCTCTACTAAAAATACAAAATTAGCCGGGTGTGGTGGCACATGCCTGTAATCCCAGCTAGTCGGGAGGCTGAGGCAGGAGAATCGCTTGAACCCAGGAGGTGGAGGTTGCAGTGAGCCAAGATTGCGCCACTGCACTCCAGCCTGGGCAAAAAGAGCGAAACTCCATCTCAAAAAAAAAAAAATAGTGGATTCTGACTCTGCAGGGAGGAGGACGTGAGGGGACAGAGCCAGGAGACAGAGACTAATTAGAGGCTGCCTATGGAAAACATTACTAGGCCACAGTTGACAGGCCTTTGTCGCCCATGGGCTGGGAGCAAGGAGGAGGAGAGAGGCAACACAGTTTCCCCAGGGCATGACCCCAGGGGGTCCTGTGCAAGATGTGACCTCAGCCAAGGGCACTGGCTGTGGGGAAAGGAAGGGAGGCCCCTGTGAGAGGTTTGCTGTCTGAGACTCCTTAGACATTGGCAACAGGCTGGATATAGAGAATGCTTAACCCTGGAATGTTGTCAGTGCTTTAGGGAAGAAGAGACATTTGGTGTAGGGGGTGAGTGTGCATAATCTTAGGGGCGGGTGGGGCATATTGACATCTAGATGATCAGTTGGTCATTCCACAATGTATCGTGTATCAAAACATCACACTGGCCAGCACAGTGGTGTGCACCTGGCGTCCTAGCTACTCGGGAGCCTGAGGCAGGAGGATCACTTGAGCCCAGGAGTTTCAGGCTGTAGTGGGCCACAAAGGTACCACTGCGCTCCAGCCTGGGTGACAGAGCAAGACCCCAACTCAAAAAAAAAAAAAACCACATTGTACTCCATAAATAGATGCAATTATTATTTGTCAATTAAAAATTAAATTAAAATTTAAAAAAAAGATGTCCAAGTCAAGTGCCCTACATAGAAAGTGCCCAACAGCACTGGAAGAGTAAAAGCAAGGACCGTAGAACCAAAAAGCATCAGGCAGAGAAGGCTGAGACGGCCAAGCCAGTAAGAGAATGCAGTGCCCTGGCCCCCAGCAGTCACCCCAGGACCCAGATTGTGCATGTGAGCACGGTGCCACACTTGGTTAGGGCTTGCTGGGGAATGGAGAATTCTGGTCCATTCCACCAAACCCCATCCCCTCCCAGAACCTACCTCCCAACTCCTTCCCTACTGATCCGTGTAATTCCCCATCTGTGCTAGGACTGGGACCTAATAGGACTGTTTCTATATGTGCCCTGCCCCCTAGCAGACCACGTGCTTTCTGAGCCTGGAGCCCTGTCCCCCTTCTTTCCTTCTTCTAATTCCCCACAGTGTCCAGGACAGAGCCCACATGTGCTGGGGACAGGCACACCATAGGATACTCAGAATGTCCAGACAGGGTGCCTGAGGCCCCATTTCCTCCTACCAGGAATTTGTGCCAGGTCCTGCCAGCATAGACAGTGACTTCCCTGACTTCCTAGTTTGGACAAGGTCGGTCAGTTCAGGTGGCTGCATGGTTCCCCCCAGGCTATTTACCTAACCTGCTGCAAATAGACCAGATGCCTGGATTCTGGGTGAAGGGGCAGGAAAGGGTTGTTTTTATTCAGACCTGCTCAGCCCACCTGTCCCAGAGGCTCCATGTTATCAAATGTTTTCCAGTTCCTATGGCGACGAAATCACGGAGCCAGGATGTGTTATTGTTCCGGGGAGAAAAGGGAAGGGCCACACCATAGGACTGACGTCCATTCATCCATCTGTCAGCCAGCCGCTGAGTCACCCAGCCATGGTCTGGTGCATCCACGCAGTCACTCCTCTGTGGTCTGAGGCTCCCACAGGCCTTCTCTCTTTGGCAAGAGGCTGGTCCCCTGTCCGTGACTGTCAGCAAGCATGCAACAGAGCACCCCTGCTGTGCCACATGTTGCCCTGGGCACTTCAGGGAGGCTAGCAAGGTGGGGAGGGAAGCTACTGAGGGGGGAACAGTCCTACCCTTAGGGAGTCAGAGCTTATGGGGAGGCATGGTCCCTGTCCTTTCAGAGCACACATATATATTCACAGACAGTTTCTAGGGCCACCTGTCGACTGGCTTACTCAGTGACCTCGGCCAAGCCACTTGACCTCTCTAAGCCTTTATCTCTTTATGCACAAAACAGGGAAAGTAGTACTATTTCATCAGATGGTTATGGGAAAGAAATGAGAGTGCCAGTGAAGTGCTTAGCACTGTACCCAGCATTCTACAAAGCACTCAATAAAGAGCCGCGTATGGTTATTGCTGATGAGTAGACCCTGGCCACACATCTCTGGACTACCTGAAGGTAAATCAGAGGGAGCTCCTGCTACTCCCCCAACACATGTGCCACCCACCTCACCTGCAGGGCAGCCATGGGAGGCCACCATGCACACAACCAGCCCCATCGCCCACCACCAGAACTTGAAATAGAAAGCTTCAACTGTGCAGACATAGATGAGGACAGAACAAGAGATTTGACAGGTCAGCCAAAGAGGTGGGTCAGCACAGGTGGTGAGGACCAAGGAGGCCGGGAGGCAGGCATTTCGAGAGTATCCCGGAGAGATGCTCAGGCCTCCCAGGTGCGCAGCAGGTATCTCCGGGCTTCTCCTAACTCCCTTGCTCCAGGACTGTGCTGGCCAAGCACCTTCTGATGACAGTTTGGACTTCTGGGTAGAATTCCCTACTGGAGAACAGGTGCTGATGGGTGAACACAGCCCACTGGGTAGCTGGATCCTCACCGTGAGCGACTGAATCAGCACTCTGATATTTACACTTGGGCTGCAGTGTGAGTCACCCCTCAACTCAGCCACCTCCAAGGCTCCTAACCAACTTGGATTTCTAGGCCTACAAAGTGGAAAACTGGCCCCTGGAATGTGATGACTACAGGGAGGAAATACCCTCTAGGGAACCCCCCACAAGAGGAACCTTCCCCAAGGGGAGCCCCAGAATGCACCTAGGGCCATTTTCCATACTGACCTCTGCTACACGCTATAGCCAGCCCAGCTAAGGCCACTCGCCCTGGGCTGGCCCTAATGCAATGCCCTTCAGACTGTGGATCAAGACCCATAAGTGGGTCATGGAGTCACTTTAGTAGGTGGGGTGAGCATTCTTTAAAAAGTCCACAGAATACAATAACAGAGGGCAAGGCATGGTGACTCACGCCTATAATCCCAGAACTTCGGGAAGTTGAGGTGAGTGGATCTCCTTAGGTCAAGAGTTCAAGACCAGCCTGGCCAACATGGTGAAACCCCGTCTCTACTAAAAATACAAAAATTAGCTGGGCATGGTAACGGGCGCCTGTAATCCCAGCTACTCAGGAGGCTGAGGCAGGAGAATCACTTGAACCCTGGGAGGCAGAGGTTGCAGTGACCTGAGATCACGCCATTGCACTCAAACCTGGGCAACAAAAATGAAACTGTCTCAAAAAAGAAAAAAGAATAACATATTAGAGTGTCTCACAGACGAGTAAGGGTGAGTATTACTTCATGAATCATTGGTGTGTATATATATACATATATGTGTATATGTATGTGTGTTGTATGGGTGTATGTACACACACATAATACATGGATAAACTTGAGCCAATGCCCCTGAAATAGAAAAACAGCACATTCTAATTGAATAATTTCTCGGAGCATTTGATAGAGGCTGTTTACAAAGATGGGACAGGGTGTGGGTAAATCATAAGGGACAGTGGGGCTCACTTATCACCTTTAGGCTTGAAGGCTTGAAGGAGGAAAGTGTTTTCAGAACTTGGAGACAGAGAATGATGTGGAAAGAGCGGGGATCATCAGGTGAGGGACCAGCTAGCCTGTGGCAACCCCACTGGGGAGTAAGTACTTCCCCCTTCTCCCTGTCTCTGCAGTCCTGCCAGGCCTGCCCTGCCGCTGAACCCAAGGGAAACTGAGAGCAGGGGAGCCAGGGAGGAGGCCGTTCAGTGGAAACATCCAGTATATAATGTGTGCACGGGATGCAAAGTAAAGTACAAGTGTTTTTCACTATGGGTTTCAGTTAATGACTTTTTTTGTTGTTGTTGTTGAGATGAAGTTTCGCTCTCGTTGCGCAGGCTGGCATGCAGTGGCGCAATCTTGGTGCACTGCTACCTCCACCGCCCAGGTTCAAGCGATTCTCCTGCTTCAGCCTCCCAAGTAGCTGGGATCACAGGCACGTGCCACCACCCCCGGCTAATTTTTGTATTTTTAGTAGAGATGGGGTTTCACCATGTTGGTCAGGCTGGTCTCGAACTCCTGACCTCAATTGATCCATTTGCCTCAGTCTCCCAAAGTGCTGGGATTACAGACATGAGCCACTGTGCCCGGCCAGTTAATGACATTTGAAAAACAATACCCTAGAGGCCCGTGTCTGACACCGAAGTTACTGCCAGGAAGAAGCCAGACACTTCTGAATGCCCCAGGTCAGGGTCAGCCACGCTTGGGAAGGCTTTGGGTGGCAACGCTAATGCCGGCCAGGAAACGGCAGCTGAGAGGGAGCTCACCACCACATTCTCCACATGTGCCAGTGCTAAGCAGCCACCTTCACCCAGACACCACCCAGTGGCCCTGAGCCCTGCCCACAGTCTCCACGGGCCAGGGACCGAGGGTCACAGGAGCGAGGAAGGAGCGGGAGGGTGAGTGGGAGAGAGGAACAAAGGGGCCTGTGGTCACCAACACCCACGCCATGCCAGGCAGTTGCCTCAGCTCCTCAAGGACAAAGGGCAGAGTTCTATTTCTAGCTCCCTGGAGGAGCAGGAGAAAATGATGCTCTTGTGTTCCGCACACTTGCAGTTGGCTCACTAATCCTTGGGCTACTGGTTGTGGTTCTGGGCTCCCACTATGCTGTCTCTAAGCCTCCGTGTCCACAGCCCACATGAATGCTTGAGGCTTGGTCACATGCTGGGGATCTCACGTGTTCCTGACCAAGCGTGGCCAGGCTCAAAGGCTGAGTCACCTGGTGCCAATGGCTGGACCCAAACATGTGTATGGCTGGAGAACCTTAGATCATCAACCACAAGTCCACTTCACACCCTTGCCAGGTGGCCCAGTCCAAAGCTGGGTGTGGAAGGACCGCAGAAGAGTGACTCTTCCGGAAAGGAAATAAATCCCTCTAATGATTTAAAAAAAGGGAGGGGGGACAAGAATAATCCATGTTCAGGATAACAGAGGAATCTCATTTTCCCTTGTTGTTTCCTAGGGCAATAGAATGCAACTCTGCCCTTCATAGAGTTGGGTTCCTCCTGGGTTACTCATCTGTCCCTAAGGACGAGTTGTTTATTCAAGAGTTAATAAAATTGAGAGCTTTTTGCCCTTTGAACATTCCTCCTCCTTCAGAATCTCTTGGTTTCCCTCTGCCATGCTCCTGTCATTGGTCAGGGCTGGAAGGAGCCTCAAGTCCACAGGTAAAGGTGGCTCCTGGACTGTGTCCTCTCCTCCCCTCAAACCCACAGGGCCTTGGGCTGGATCCTTCAGTCAGATCCTGAAGATGCCCTGAGGAAATGGCTCACCCATGCCACATATTTGAAGTCAACCAAACAGAAAATAGTTGCTTTACTATTTAATCAATCTTAACCAAGACAGGATTAAACAATATAGTAAGGGAAGAAGTCCAAGAGGACCAGTCTCTTCCGGTTGCCTGTACATCAGCTTTGACCAATGACCCACTGAAACCAGAGTGTCCGTGTCAACATCTGGCTCCCATCACTTACAGCCTCACTTCATTCTTCCCTGCTCTGCCAAGATCCAAGTGGTGCCAACTTCCTCTCTGCACCTTGCACCTCCAACCACACATGATCTCTTCTCTCCATGTGGTCTGTCTGCCCCAATAAATTGGAGAGACCTGTCAGACAGCAACAGCTTTGCCTTCTTCACTTCATTTTGTCCCCATCATCTGCAACAGTGCCTGGGCTGTGATAGAGGCACTGTAAAATATGTAAAGGGTGGGCCGGGTGAGGTGGCTCATGCCTACAATCCCAGCATTTTGGGAGGCCGAGGAGGGTGGATCACTTAGGTCAGGGGTTCAAGACCACCTGACCAACATGGTCTCTATAAAATACAAAGATACAAAAATTAGCTGGGTGTGATGGCATGTGCCTGTAATCCCAGCTACTCAGGAGGTTGAGGCAGGAGAATTGCTTGAACCCAGGAGGCAGAGGTTGCAGTGAGCTGAGATCTCACCACTGCACTCCAGCCGGTGCAACAGAGCAAGACTCCATCTCAAAAAAAAAAAAAAATGTACAGGGTGAAAGAATTAATTAAATATTCATTACAGCTAAGTTTTTCCATGTAAAGAGGAAAAAAATGAAAAGTCAGCATGACTTTCAAAACTTTTATTTTTTTTGGCAGTACAAACCTTTCCTTCCATGCATAGCTGCATTTTTATAAAACAAACAAAGCAAAACAAAACACCTTTCTTATTCCAAGAAAATCTAACCTAGGACCCGAAAGAAATTTTTTTCTTCTCTTTTTTTTTTTTTTTTTTTAGACAGAGTCTCACTCTGTTGCCCAGGCTGGAGTGTGGTGGTGCAATCTAGCCTCACTGCAACCTCCACCTCCCGGGTTCAAGCAATTCTCACACCTCCGCCTCACAAGTAGCTGGGATTACAGGCGTCCACCACCACGCCCGGCTAATTTTTTTTGTATTTTTAGTAGAAATGGGGTTTTGCCATGTTGGTCAGGCTGGTTTCAAACTCCTGACCTCAAATGATCCACCCACCTTAGCTTCCCAGAGTGCTGGGATTACAGGCATGAGCCACCACACCCAGCCTAAGCCCCAAAATAAATTTTTAAAAAGCAGCATACTCAAGTAAGGTTGCCATGTTTAGCAAATAAAAATACAGGAACAAAGGAAAAATAGAACAGTTTCTCTACTCACATAACACTTCTGACATCAAACGTGTGAGGTTTTCACACCAAGCAATTCTCTAAGTCTCTGAGGACACCGAGTGTCCTACAATTTAATTCAATTCTGACACTACGCAGTCAACACAGACCCCACAGGCTAAGCACTCAGTCCCACAAGACTGCGCCCACTTCCGACACCAATCGCAAGTACTGGGTCCCTAGGTTATCCACACTTGGCTGCAAATCAGGAGTTCCCATGACCCCTTCCTCAGGTTCAATAATTTGCTATCATGGCCCACAGAACTCAGGGAAACACTTTACTTACTATAATGGATTTATTATAAAGGATATTATAAAGGATACAAATGAACAGCCAGATGAAGAGGTACTGTATATATCATCTCAGCTACTCAGGAGGCTGAGGCAGAAGCATACCTGAGGCCAGGAGTTCAAAACCAGCCTGGGAAACATAGCAAGACCCCATCTCAAAAAAAGGAGGGAAGGTACTGTACATACAGGGAGGTCCAGGGTCCCAAGCACAGGAGCTTCTATTCCATGGAATTGGGGTGCACCACCCTCCCAGCGTGCTGATGCATTTGCCAACCGGAAGTTCTCTGAGCTGTGTTCTCTAGGGTTTTTATGGGAGATCCACTATGCAGGCATGATTGGTAAAAATTATTGACCATTGTTAACTAACTCAATCTCCAGCCCCTAACCCCTTCCCAGATTTGGGAGAGAACTGAAAACTCTAGTCATTCTCTGGTCTTTCTGGTGACTGTCTCCCAACCTGAAGCTATCTAGAGGCCCCCAGCCACCAGTTATCTCATTAACATATAAAAAGACACTCATCACTCTGGAGATTTCAAGGGTCTTAGAAGCTTTGTTTTAGGAACTGGAGACTGAGACCAAATAGTACAAGAGATGCTCCTATCTCCCCAGTCACTCAGGAAATTACAAGTGCTTAGGAGCTCTGTCCAGGAACTGGGGATGAAGACCAAATATCTATTTCTTATTATATCACAATGTCACACAGGACATCCAGTTAAGTTTCAATTTTTAAAAAAATAAAAAATGTGTAAAGATCCCAAATATTACATGGGACCTATTTATACTAAAATTTTATCTGATTTTCAAATGTAACTGAGTGTCCTCTGTTTTATCTGACAGACCTCTACCTAGGGCTATGCATGCCTGGGGTCCCAGAGGTGACTGGGGTCTGTGCAGTCCAGTTTCTAAACCACAGTTTTAGGGAAAAGTGTGGCTCTCTCGTTCTGCTTCCCTCTCCTGTCCCTGGAGCCATTCTGCTCTTGAGCAGAGCTAAGGCTCCCTTCCCCAGCAGCAGTGCCTGAGACCCCAGCATCTGTGTGCTTCCAGTGGAGGAAAGTCTATGAAACAATGGACTTAGTTTCCTGAAGCGTTGGAGTGTTTCCTTTTTTCTTTCTTTTTTTTCCTGAGACAGGGGTTCACTCTGTCACCCAGGCTAGAGCTCAGTGATGCGATCTCAGCTCACTGCAGCCTCGACCTCCTGGGCTCAAGCGATCCTCCCACCTCAGCTTCCGGAGTAGCTGGGATTACAGGCGTGAGCCACTACGCCTGGATGGAGTGTTTTCTAAGGGTCAGAATAACTCCATACATAGCCAACATTTATGACAAACAACTATATCAGTTCACACAATCACTTCAAGTGAAACAGATTGCTTCATACTCTGTTTCCACAGAGGTCCTCCTTCTCCCTGATGGATGGCCGCCTGTCCTGGGCAGGCACATTATAAAACTGCAGCTGCCTTGCTTTCCCCTTCCTGCTCCCCAGCCCATTCCTTCTGTGAGGAATGACCACACTCAAACCATTCATCCTGGTTCTGTTGGGTGGATACTGGTGACTTCTGCGGGAACCAGTGCTGGAGATGACGGGGCAACTGACACACCTCTCTGTCTTCACTCCCCTCACCCCAACAAAGCAGCAAAAGGACTTCTTGGATACTCAGATGAACTCCTGAGTGCCTTCCAGAATGAGCTCATTCTAGAGAGGAAACCGGTGAATCCCGCAGAGGACATCTGTTGATTTTTGTCTGCTTACATTTGAGTCCTTCCTATGTGGAGGAGTCCTCCAGGGGGTGGTCTCGACAGGAAGCAGACAGTCTTCTAGGGCCCATGTTTGACCCAGGCTCAGCCCGTGGGATGCTCAGGCTGGGGGCTTTGACTCTTGAGGGAGAGACAGGTAATTAGAGACGGTGCACACCTGTAGTCCCAGCTACTCAGAACACTAAGGTGGAAGGATTGCTTGAGTCTGGGAGGTCAAGCCATGGCAGTGGGGTCGAGAGTCCAGCAGTCCATGGTAACTGGTAGCAGAATTCACACAGGCATCCTGACCCCGAGGCTGAGCGGCTGTGACTAGGTTCTTAGCTACCTGGCCTTCAGGGTGTTCCCTGCCCATTTTCCCGAACCTGGTTTGCCAGACACGAATCAATCCTGTAAACCATCCAATATTCTTTCTCATAAGCTCGTTCTTAGCTTGAGTTAGCCAGAGTGAGTTCCTGCCGTTTGCAGCAAGAGCACTCACAGATACAATCTATAGGTTGTCACACTTCACCCCTCTCACTCACTGCCCCACTCCGTGGTGATGTTAAATAAAATTTATAGGAGCCCATTGTTTTGGACTGAGGTCCTACACTAGGCCCCAACAGACCAAGCCAAAATGGAGTCACTCGTGCTAAGTGCTGCATAATCAAACTGAAACTTTATGAAGCAGGAAAATCCCCTAACAGATCATGTTTTCCTAAAAATAGGAGATTTATGGCAACCAATTGGAAAGGGCCCAGTAAACCTGAGCTGGCACGATAAGATAGTCCTCTTTCCTTTAACCCTTATAAGGAAAGCAACCTGACGTTAACTCATCTGCTTTTTTGTGGTATTCTGTTTCCTTGTTCCTGCTCAAGCTACCTTACAATGGATCTGTCGTGCCGAGTGGAACTCCCTCTATTTTGGAAGATATGCTGTCTGATTCCTGGATCACTAATAAAAGCCAAGTAGGGCTAGGCACAGTGGTGCATGCCCGCAGTCCCAGCTACTCAGGAGGCTGAGGCAAGAGGATCACTTAAGCCCAGGAGTTCAAGACTGTAGTGAGCTATGATTGCCCCATTGCACTGCAGCCTGGACAACAGAGTGAGACTTTGTCTCAATTAAAAAAAAAAAAAAGGTTGGGTGTGGTGGCTCATGCCTGTAATTCCAGCACTTTGAGAAGCCAAGGCTGGCAGATCACTTGAGCACAAGACCAGCCTGGGCAACATGGTGTAACCCCTTCTTTTACAAAAGAAATAGCTCAGCTTTATGGTGCGCATCTGTAGTCCCAGCTACTCTGGAGGCTAAGGTGGGAGGATCGCTTGAGCCTGGGAGGTCAAGGCTGCGGTGAGCCGAGATCGCACCACTGCAACTCCAGCCTGGATGACAGGGCAAGACCCTGTCTCAAAAAAAAAAAAAAAAAAAAGGAAAGCCAATTACTTGTTTCACTATGTTGAAATTTTATTTTTTAACAGTGCCCTTGGTTGGCCAGCTCTGCGCATAAAAGTGAAGATGGCGTGGCAGATGCCAAGAGACCCACAAAGGGGCTGTGCAGATTCCGGGAGTGAGATGTGGCGGTGTCTGGAAGGACAGAGCAAGAAGAGCAGGTCTGGGGTTTCCCAGGCCAGATGCTTGTCTACCCTCTACTGCTCTCTAGTGGCCAGAGTCCAGAAGCCGGGCAAGCCTTTCAGCTTTCCTCCTCAGAATAATGTCAGAGCAAGTGGGAGCACAGAGGAGAAGCTCCCGGCTCTACAGGTCAGAGGACACAGTGCTTCCACTGAGCGTCATAAGTCTTTATAATGGGGCCAGACCAGCTGGCAGGGCTGTGACAGGCAAGGTGCAGGGAATGACATGGGCAAAACCATGGAGACTTGAGATTATATTGCACCGTCAGAGAATGCAAATTATTTGGTAGGACCAGAAGCTAGGGTGTGAAGAGGGTGGTGAAGAATGGGCCTGAGACCAGTGGAACAGAACAGAAGCCTCAGAAATAACACCACACATCTACAACCGTCTGATCTTTAACAAACCTGAAAAATAAAAAAGAAATGGGGAAAGGATTCCCTATTTAATAAATGGTGCTGGGAAAACTGGCTAATCATATGTACAAAGCTGAAACTGGATCCTTTCCTTACACCTTACACAAAAATTAATTCAAGATGGATTAAAGACTTAAATGTAAGGCCTAAAACCATAAAAACCCTAGAAGAAAACCTAGGCAATACCATTCAGGATATAGGCATGGGCAAGGATTTCATGACTAAAACACCAAAAGCAATGGCAACAAAAGCCAAAATAGACAAATGGGATCTAATTAAACTAAAGAGCTTCTGCACAGCAAAAGAAACTACCATCTGAGTGAACAGGCAACCTACAGAATGGGAGAAAATTTTTGCAATCTACCCATCTGACAATGGGCTAATATCCAGAATCTACAAAGAACTTAAACAAATTTATGAGAAAAAAAAAACCCCATCAAAAAGTGGGCAAAGGATATGGAACAGATACGTCTCAAAAGAAGACATTTATGTGGCCAACACGCAGGAAAAAATGCTCATCATCACTGGTCATTAGAGAAATGCAAATCAAAACCACAATGAGATACCATCTCACGCCAGTTAGTATGGCGATCATTAAAAAGTCAGGAAACAACAGATGAGATGCTGGAGAGGATGTGGAGAAATAGGAATGCTTTTACACTGTTGGTGTAAATCAGTTCAACCATTGTGGAAGACAGTGTGGCAATTCCTCAAGGATCTAGAACTTGAAAGACCATTTGACCCAGCAATCTCATTACTGGGTATATACCCAAAGGATTATAAATCATGCTACTATAAAGACACATGCACACGTATGTTTATTGTGGCACTATTCACAATAGCAAAGACTTGGAGCCAACCCAAATGTCCATCAATGATAGACTGGTTAAAGAAAATGTGGCACATATACACCATGGAATACTATGCAGCCATGAAAAAGAATGAGTTCATGTCCTTTGCAGGGACATGGATGAAGCTGGAAACCATCATTCTCAGCAAACTATCACAAGGACAGAAAACCAAACACCGCATGTTCTCACTCATAGGTGGGAACTCAACAATGAGAACACTTGGACACAGGGCGGGGGAACATCACACACCAGGGCCTGTCAGGGGGTTGGGGGCTGGGGGAGGGATAGCATTAGGAGATATACCGAATGTAAATGACAAGTTGATGGGTGCAGCAAACCAATATGGTACATGTATACCTATGTAGCAAACCTGCACGTTGTGCACATGTACCTTAGAACTTAAAGTATAATAAAAAATAAATAAATAAAAAAGAAGAAGAGTGGGTTTGAGAGATGGCCTGAGGCTTTGCCTAGAAGGGAGTTTGGAATGCATCATAGACCATTGAAAGCCTTCCAAGGGTTTAAGCAGGGGCATAATATAGGGATTCCTCCTAGAAAGAAACATTCTCAAATTTGCACTTTAGAAAGATCATTTTAGCAAGAGTGTGGAGTATGGAATAGAGAGTCTAGTAGCTGAGGCCCTGCCCTCAGCTAAGCAATGTCAGTGGGGACAGAGAAAAGAGAACCCATTCATCCTTTATTCATTCATCTAAGACATATGCCAGGCTTGCTGGAATTGCAAAGCTGCGCCCAGAAACCCACATTCTCCCCTTTCTGCACAATGTGGAAGAAAGCCACGGACCTGCCCACATACTTGGAGCCCCAAAATCTTGACCGTCGCTGGCAAGAGTTGGAGCCTGATTTGTGTGGGCAGTTCAGCTGCTTTATTTTTTTAGCATTGATAACTGGCATACTGATTAGGTAACAACTCTTAAGAATTGAATAGTACTACATCGCCATTTTATAGGAATAAGGAAATTGAGGCATAGCAAGGCAGGTTCCACCCAAGGCCAGCTGGCTCCTGAGTCTATCCTCTTAACCATTCGCTATTCCTTCCTCTTTGTGCTGATCACACAGCAATGCTCAGGATGCTCAGAACAGCTTTGGGGAGTGTTTTGCCTCTAATGTCCTCATCTTGTTCTCTAGCCTCATTCAACCTGTTTCCTGTTCCCTGGAAGTCATTTTA
This sequence comes from Homo sapiens, assembly GCF_000001405.40. NCBI lineage: Eukaryota > Metazoa > Chordata > Mammalia > Primates > Hominidae > Homo > Homo sapiens. The sequence goes on along the minus strand of NC_000001.11, from coordinate 212,474,907 downwards.
TGGCTAAATAAATCCCAACGAAATGTTAACTCTGAAGACAGGCACCTCCTGCCTTCTCCCCTGGACCCCCTTTCTGCTTGGAGTCCTGGTGTTTGCCATAGTGTCTGTATTTTCAGAAGGTTAATGGGTGCAGGATCCCACATTAGGACTTACAGGGAGGGCTCAGCCTCTGACCTCAGAAAATTCAGGTCCCAGGGGGAGTCAAGACAGATGAACTATTCAGTCTGTTCGTTATTCTAGCTATCAGCATCTTCAGCTAACCTGGTGTTTTTTAATGTAGTTTGAGAGTCTCTAAATTGATTTCATGACCCACTAACTAGCATCTCAAATCACATTTTATTTAAATGAAATTGAATGAAATACAAAACATGAAGTGTATTGCATATAGTACAATTAATAATTGTTTCAAGAAAATTTCTGTTTTAGTTGTGTGTATCTGAGTGTATATGTGTGTGTGTGTGTGTGTACACACTTGATTACAATATAAAATACATTTCTTACTGTGAGTCCAGTCAAAAAGTTAAAGCACCACATATCTTAATATTTTCTCCCTCTGGCTTCACAATAATTGTTTGCAGCAGTTTTACAACCTATGGTTTGTTCAAGGAAATACGAAAAAAGAGTTTTGATCCGCGGACCTGTGAAGGAGCAGAGGAGCCAGGCTGAGCCAGCACATGAGGGAAGCCCTTGGATCCAGACACTGCAGCAGAGCTAGGGCTGGCCAAAGGGCTGCATGGACAATAACTGGCTCACACTGAGGGCCCCGCTCCTCACCTGCCTATCTTAAGCCACCTGTTCTCTCTCTCTCTCTCTCTCTCTCTCTTTTTCTTTAAATACAGATGGCGTCTCGCTATGTTGCCCAGGTTGGTCTCAAAACTCCTGACCTCAAGCGATCCTCTCACCTCAGCCAACCAAAGTGCTGGGATTACAGGCATGAGTCACTGCACCTGGCCCAGTCACCTGTTCATGAAAACCCCAAGGCTCGCTGCTACCCAACCCGAGGTCAAGACTGGCCAGAAGGTGTGCAGATACCCTCTCGCCTATTCAGCTGTTGCCTACTGAAGCCTGATCTGCAGCTCCCACTGCACCGCTCAGGCAGCCAAATGGGGAGGAAAAACCACAGAGTGGTCGTAAGCTGTTCTTCCGCAGGCTCTTAAGCATTGGTCTCTAACCAACAAGGCCTGGCATATGTATTGAATTTATTTATTTATCATTATTATTGTTATTTTAGAGCTGGAGGTCTTGCTTTGTTGCCTAGGCTGGTCTTGAACCTTCTCACCCATTGCTTGGACCAGCTGGCAGCCCACGGGTATACCCCAAGCAATCCTCCTGCCTCGGCCTGCCAAAGTGCTGGGATTACAAGCATGAGCCACCATGCCTGGCCTTGAATGTACTGAACTTATTCTTCCGTGTATCCCAGGCACAGACCCACTTTCTGTGAATGGGAGAGTGGTCTGGCCATGGCTCACTGGCCTGTGGGTTAGCAGGACTGATTTGGCTGCTTCTCAGAGGCCCCTCCAACCAGAGCTGCGTCTTCATTCAGGGAAGATGACCTTCTCCAAAAGGGCCCCTCTCCAGACCCTACAATCAAAGGTATGCCTCTGTGTGGAAACCACATAAATGCACTTATCTTTCCTCTACAAAACTGAAACTCCTGACACCCCCAACTCCCCACCATCTGGGCAGGGTGGTTTTGTTTTTTTCCAAGAAGCAAATAATTCTAGAAGTCAGAGAGAGTGGGGCCCGGAATCAGGCAGCCTGGACTTTCATCTCAGATCTGCTTATGAGAGAATGCCTGTGGGCAGGTTGTTTAGCCTCCCCAAGGGTCAGCGGCCTCCCCTGTAAAGCAGAAGATAATAATAGCTCCTATTTCAGCAGGTTACCATGAGAATAAAATAAGGTAATACAGGAAGGCAGGTAATCCAATACTCAGCATATAGTAAATGCTCACTAAATACTACCTACCATCATCATAATGACTGTGGTTATTATGACAGTCTCTAGGCAGCCCCAGAGTGGCCATAGGTCTGAGAGCCCCACAGGGCCCCTCCTGGTTGATTCCCCAAATCCACTTCTCCATCACCCTCACTGACCTTCTCCCACTGTGAGGCCTCCTGCCTTCCACAGGACCTGCCTGCTGTCTCACCTCTTCATAGCTCACCTCTCTTCTCTACCCCAAGGCTGGCTTTGAGGGACCCTGGCTCCACAGTCCTTGCCACAGTATGAACAAGGTAATGTGGGGTCTGGCACGAAAGGACCTGGGTTAGAGTCCTTGCTCGGCTGCTGCCTGTAGGGAGGCATGGCTGTGTCCTTCAAGTAAATCAGGATGGACCAGAGACGGGTACCAAGTCTGAGACCCCACCAACAAGGATGGTCTCACCCATCAGGCAGGGCCCAGGGCCTAAGGTTTGTGACCGTGGCTCCTTGCTGCAGGTGGAAGTGGCAGCTAATGTCCAGTAGGCAGAAGGATGCATCCTGGGGCCAGGGTGTGGAAACGGGAGCAGGCAGGCAGCCTCTGTCCATCTCCTGGACAGGGTTCAAGGGACACACAATGGGAGCAGGACCTCAGATTGAGGGAACTGAGGCTGGAGCCCAGACACACAACCTGGGCGGGGAGAGTTTCTGCGATGTCTTGTTTTTGTGGAAAAGTCTTGGACGCACACACTGGTAGCTGAAGGTTCACCATCTGCGGAATCTACATGGGGACAGTCTATGAGCACGGGTGATGATGAGCCCAATGAGGGGATTCGCTGCAGCGACCCACCTGGGCCCTGAGCCCTGGATCAGCCTGGAGGGGCTGAACCCCTCCCTGCTAAGGCCGCTGTGTGGGGAGGGGCTGTGCTGGTCCTGGGGACTTCCTGCCTGAAGACGGGTGTGGGCCAGTGGGAACAGAGCCTGCAGCTGGCTCCGCACTCCCAGAGCCAGGAGGCAGGCATGGGAAATAGGCTCACAGAATACTCATTGTATACTAAGAGACGTTTGTCCCCTGAGCCCCCTTTTACTCTTCTAGAAGGCGGGAATGGCGATGATTTCCAATATATAAATTCATAGGTGTGTTACTGAAATGAATACAAGGAGTGGTTTGCAAACAGCTGAACTAACGTTCTTATAGTGTCATTAATTATCCTTGGGGTAAGTACGCAAACCCTTTGTTTTACAAGAATCACTACAATCTAAAGATAACACAACAAGTTGGGAAAGTTACAAAGGTTTCTGAAATCAGAAAAGGCTTCTGAGCAAGAACGGCTTTGGTTATTACTCCAGCCATGGTGGGGATGAGTGCCTGCATGGGGGAGGAGGGGGCACAGTTATTTTGGCTCCAAACTGGCAACAAAACAGGGTTTTGAGTTCTTCTGAACCAGGTGAGTGCCGGCCCCAGGGCTTGGCCAGTGTTCAGGGATGGGGTCTCAGTGGTCAGTCAGAACCACAGCCTGAGACCTCCCTGCCCTAAGCCAATCCTAGGGTGTCTGGGGAAGGCCTTCGGCCAACATGGACAAGTCAATGGTGGAGCAGAGGAGCTGGGCTCAACACCACCCTTGGGGTTAAATGAGCTGAGGCAGGGAAAAGGGCATCAAGCCAGCACTTCTCATACATTGAAGAGATTTTTGTGATGTTGCAGTTATTTTCATATCTCCCCATGCCTTCCACCTTCTCAACAAGTCTGCCCAATTATTATCTCATTTTTTTATTATTTTATTTTATTTTATTTGCAACAGTTTCACTCTGTCGCCCAGGCTGGAATGCAGTGGCACCATCTTGGCTCACTGCAACCTCCACCTCCCGGGTTCAAGCAATTCTCACACCTCCGCCTCCCAAGTAGCTGGGATTACAGGCGTCCACCACCATGGCTGGCTAATTTTTGTATTTTTAGTAGAGACGGGGTTTTGCCATGTTGGCCAGGCTGGTCTCAAACTCCTGACCTCAGGTGATTCGCCCGCCTTGGCCTCCCAAAGTGCTGGGATTACAGGTGTGAGCCACCGTGCCCAGCCCTATTATCTCATTTTTAACTGAAGAGACAAATAAGACTCAGACAGAGTGATTTGTCTAAGGGCACACAGCAAGCTAATGGCCAAGTTGGGATGAGAACCTCTCCCTGTGGTGTTTGGAAGGACAGAGTCCCAGGACCGGGGCAGGAACAGACCTGGGCTGCAGCTAGGAGCTCAATGGAGTTCAATGGACCGGAGCCTGGCAGGTCCACGCCCAAAGGCAAATGGAAAATGTCTCACTGGATTAATACAGCATCTGGTGGTGGCAGGTGGGAGATATGTCCTTTCTTTTTTATAGTTTTCTGTATCGATCTGGAATTTTGTATAAGCAAGCTTTCCATTTACAATTAGACAAAATAATCAGATTATACTCCAGGGGTCAAGGGGGTAGAGATCCCACCCACACGTGGCCAAGGTAGGGCCCTTCACCCACCAGCAGCTGCCTTTGTGGGCGGGTCTCTGGTCTCACCACACCAGAGCCCCTCGGAACGCTCTTTTCCTGAGATGACTTCCATTCTCCAGTTCTCTCAGCTCAGCCTCCCTCTTGGCAGTCACGGCTGCCCTCCCTCATCCCTCGAGGGTTTTCCAGCAATCCTTTGCACATAGCTCCTTGGCAGAAGATAGGGAGATCACATGGCTGCGTGACGGTGTTTTCTGACTCACGGAATGGAAAGAAACACTACACACAAAAGCAGCACACAGGGCCTCTGTTGCGAGTTGGGCTAACTACTCGGTGTGGGGCGTGATTCATCCGGGACTGCCTGGCGAGTGTACATGCTCGCAGGGCAAGGGCAGCGCAGCACTGAGCTACTCAGGCCCAGGCCCCTCCCAGGCAGAGCAATGAGTCCAGCAGCTCTGCCCGCAAGGGTCTGGGGCTGCCATGGGCTAACCAAGAGGTGTCTGAGGAGATTGCAGACAGTGGCTGGAGACGGAAGGTGAAAAAGTTAGAAGATCCAGGTTGGAAAAATTTGAGGAAGAAAGTAGTCAGACAGGTGTGGGCAGAATAGGGTCAAACTCTCCTGCAGACCAGGACACAGGCTCTGACTTCTCCACACCACACCCCAGGCCCTCCAGGTACAGCAGACACATGCTCACCATCATCAGAAAGGTTCTAATAAAATATTGATGTATTTATTATTATTTTGTTTATTTATTTATTGAGATGGAGTCTCACTCTGTCACCAGGCTGGAATGCAGTGGCGTGATTTTGGCTCACTGCAACCTCTGCCTCCCTGGTTCAAGCGATTCCCCTGCCTCAGCCTCCTGAGTAGCTGGGACTACAGGCGTGCGCCATCACGCCCAGCTAATTTTTTTGTGTGTTTTAGTAGAGACGGGGTTTCATCGTGTTGGCCAGGATGGTCTCGATCTCCTGACCTCATGATCTGCCCGCCTTGGGCTCCCAAAGTGCTGGGATTACAGGCATGAGCCACCACACCAGTCCAGTTGATTTATTTTTAATACAAAGGCCAGTCACTATCTAAGTCCTTGACCTGTGCTATCCCACTTGATCATCCTAACAGCCCTGTGGAAACATCAGTGAACCCATTTTGCAGATAAGAAAATTCTATCCAGAAACACAAAATAACTTGCCCAAGGTCAGACAGCTACTAAAGAAAATTCTAACCCAAATCATCTGGCTCCAGAGTCTGTGCTTTAAACACACTGCCTCTCCACAATGCCACCTAGAGAGCTCCTACTGTGGGCCAGACACTGTCCTTCACATACATTACTGATTTAATCCTCACAGCAACAATGCAATCAAAGTATTATTGCCCCATTTTATTTTTCATTTATTTATTTTATTTTAATTTTTGTTTGTTTATTTGTTTTTGAGATGGAGTCTCACTCTGTCACCCAGGCTAGAGTGCAATGGTGCCATCTCAGTTCACTGCAACTTCTACCTCCCGGGTTCAAGAGATTCTCCTGCCTCAGCCTCCTGAGTAGCTGGGACTACAGGTGCCTGCCACCATGCCCAACTAATTTTTTTGCATTTTTTAGAAGAGACGGGGTTTCACCATGTTGGCCAGGCTGGTCTCAAACTCCTGACCTCAGGTGATCCACCTGTCTCAGCCTCCCAAAGTGTTGGGATTACAGGTGTGAGCCATCATGCCCGGCCATCCCATTTTAAAGATAAGAACACTGAAATCCAGGCCAGGTGCAGTGGCTCACACCTGTAATCCCAGCACTTTGGGAGGCTAAGGCGGTGGGGGTGGGGGGGGGTCACCTGAGGTTAGGAGTTCAAGACCAGCCTGACTAACATGGTGAAACCCCATCTCTACTAAAAATATAAAAATTATCTGGGCCTGGAGGTGCATGCCTCCAGTAATCCTAGCTACTTGGGAGGCTGAGGCAGGAGAATCACCTCCTGCAGTGAGCCGAGATCGTGGCACTGCACTCCAGCCTGGGCAACAGAGTGAGACTCAAGAAAGGGAAGACAAGAGGAGGGGAGGGGAAGGGAAGGGAAAAACTGTAGTTTCAAGGGGTTAAGTATGTTGCCCAAAGCCAAAGCCACTTTGGGCTCACTAGCTACCAGCTAGTAAGTGGTGATGTGGAGACTCACCCAACTCAGGTAAAGTCCATGATCTTCACCACAGCATCTGTGTTCTTGTCACTTTCTGGGACGGTGTTTCTCTCTTCTGAGTCCTCCACCCCCTCACCTGTGGTTTGGATTGGTTGGAGTTTGACTGAGTAGTAATGGCCACTTGGTTGGTTTCCATGGCCTGGCGTGTGCTGTAGCTGTAGGAGAGGGCTGCCTGTGTCCATGAGAACAAGGAAGCCTTCAGGAGAGAAATCAGCCACTGCCACCCCCCAGTCCTTTAGGAGGCAGTCAGGCTGCTGACAAAGGGACCTCACGCTCCTCCCACGCATTGCCTGGACCAGCTGGCAGCCCACAGGGGTGGCTTCAGGTAGCCTCCCCAGCAAGGAGGAGAGGGATGGAGGGCTGGCTGGAGGAGCACATGGGGAGCACTCCTCAAATGCTTCCTAGAGGTCATGGAGTCAGTGCCACAACCAGTTCTTATTAACCCAGAGGAAGAGACTTCCGGCAGGGGAGAGATGCCTCGGGACAGCATGGTCTTTTGTCTTTCAGGTCACTTCCTGCTGCAGAGTCCTCACTCCAGCTTTCTCACCAATCCTCCCCCTACACAAGAAGATCATCTCTGGGTTCAGGTCACCCATCCAACTCCACTGATGGATTTAGGCTCATTTAATCCAAACTCGACTCCATTTCAGCCAGAACCAGGCACCTCTAGAAAGGTAATTTTGCAGCATACAAAAATGTAAGCAACCAAATAATGCAACCCACTTGAAGAGAGCTGGCTTGAGATTACCTGCTGCTCAGGTTATCTCTGTCATTGATGCCCACATTCGTGGAAAATTAAACCCTGGGTGTGTGATTTGGACTGTCACCTGGCAATGCACGTTAACAGGCATGCCTGCAGGTAGAATGACACTTCAACACCAGTCGTTGGCTTTCCCAAGTTAGGAATTCTTTTACTGGGCTTGGTTTCAGAAGGGGCCAGAGGCTGTTGGTGAGCAGGGAAGAGAACTTTCATTTTCTTCGTACATTTGTTGTTTGCATTTTTTTCCCCTGCAAGCACCTATGACTTGTATAATGCAAAGATATTTCAAAGACGCCTGACAGAGACAGCAGTCCTGGGTGCATGTGCGGCTTGCGGCTCACTGATCTCCAGACCCCTGGATCTTGGCAAAGCTGACAGGCCTTCTGTAGGGAGGATGGGAGAAAAAACAGCCTAAGAAGGAAGCTGCACGTCCGCAACTCCCTCCTGGGACCTGCAAACCCGTTCTTTTGCATTCCTTTGCAGGTCACCCTAACTGCCACATCCAGTTCCTGATCTGCCATCTGCTTCTTTTCCATCACTTGTGGGGTATTTCCCAGCCTACCACTAATGTGAGCCCTCCTGAGTCAAAAGTTCCCCTCTTCCAGGCCTCCTGCTCAGCTGACGTCCTGGACCAGGCAGGCCACCCTTGTTCCACTTCCCCTGGGAAGACACCTGGGTCTTGTGCCTGCCCTGGATTAGGGTGGGCAAATTAGTTCATCCAGGACTAGAAGAATGGAAATAAACAGACTTGTGTCTTGGGGCTGACTCTGAAAGGTCCAATGTTATGCCTAACAGAAAAGCTCACCTTCCTCCAAACCCCTGGAGCCATCTCAGGAGGCCCAGGGCCACCTATTCCATTCCTGACAAAACCCTAGATGCCCACATACTGCCCAGGTTGGTGGGTCTGGCCATGCTACCATTTGGATGTGGGTTGTCCCCGCCAAAACCCATGTTGAAATTTGATCCCCAGTGTGGTGGTGTAGTGGGAGGTGTTTGGGTCATGGGGCAGATCCTTCGTGAATAGATTCATTGGTGCATTCTGGCTCTCAAGAGAATAGATTAGTCCCCAAAAGCAGGGTTGCTAAGAAGAGTCTTGCTTCCTCAGTTTCTCTCTCTTGCTTCCTGTCTCTCCATGTGATCTCCATGCACACACTCATTCCCCTTTCTTTTCTCCATGAGTTGAAGCAGCCTGAGTCTTTCACCAGTACAGCTGCCCAATCTGAAGCCTTCCAGCCACCAGAATTCTGAGCCAAATAAGCCTCTTCCAAATAAGCCTCTTTTTTTTTTGAGATAGAGTCTCACTCTGTTGCCCAGGCTGGAATGCAATGGTGCAATCTCGGTTCACTGCAACCTCTGCTTCCCGGGTTCAAGGGATTCTCCTGCCTCAGCCTCCCAAGTAGCTGGGACTACAGGTACGTGCCACCATGCCCAGCTAATTTTTTTGTATTTTAGTAGAGACGGGGTTTCACCGTGTTGCCCAGGCTGGTCGCAAACTCCTGAGCTCAGGCAATCTGCCCATCTTCGCCTCCCAAGGTGCTGGAATTACAGGCATGAGCCACCACACCCGGCCTCTTTTTTTTTTTTTTTTTTTTAATAAATTGCCCAGCCTCAGGAGCTCTGTTATAGCAACACAAAATGGACCAAGACAGGCCAGGACCTCCCAAGCGAACCCTGCCCACGACTAAGTTGGTGACTCTCCCATTCTTCTCAAGCTCAGCCCAGAAGCACCAGGCCAAGGGCTGCCCCAAATGCCCCAGGAGAGCCCTGGCCCTCCTCCTCACCTGGGGACTGTGACCAGAGCCACAGCAGCACCTTGCGTGTCAACAGCACTCAACAGTTTTCAGAGCATACTGGCAGCTTCACAGTATGACCCAGTGAGGAAGGAGGAGTGGGGTGTCACCTCCATCTACACAGTGAGTAAGTAAACTGGGTCCCTTGGCTGGTGAGTGGGAGCCGGACTCGAGCCCGTGCCTTTGGACTCCTAGGTAAATGCTCTTTCCTTCAGAAAGTGGCACTTCCTGGTGTATGTCATGCATCTGGGATCCCTAGCCCCCTGGGTCTGAGGCCAGGGAAGCGCCAGGGTCCCATCTCTCCACACCCTTCCAGTGTGGCCCCCCGTGAGCGCTTGCAGCCTTGAGCTAGCCCTGGGCACTGCCTTCTCCAACTAGCAGCAAGCAGAGGCTCAAGGCTGGATTCCTGCAGAGACATGGCCACTGGGGTCCCAGCTTCTAGAAGGCGAGCATGGGCTCCTCCCTCCAACCCTCCAGCCCCTGGTTGACAGCTGTGAGTATGGCAGGAATAGAAGGCTGTAGGTTTAGAATAGGGTGAAGGTTTTCTAAGCTTTGAGGCCACAGAAGCACATTTTTCAAGTTCAACTAAGCACAATAGCCTAATAAAATTGGAGGAGCTGCTTGACTGATGTAGGTTTGGGGCTGGGCCCTGCCTCCCCCACCCCAACAAGGCAAACCCTCACTCCCCAGGCCCTGCAGTCACCTGCAAGGAATCCCTAGGCCACGTCATTGCATAGTTTGAAAACCATCCCAGAGTCCTCCTGGCTGAGATCTCCCTGTCTTGGGGGAGCTGTGTTTTGTTTAGGTTCAGCAGCTCCTCTCTGCCAATCAGAGTCCTTGAAACCCCATTTGGGGTGGCCTCCTTGGGCAAGCCAGGTAGCAGTGGGAGAATGATAGAAAGTCAGGGAGTGCGGAAAGGGGCAGCTATCTAATTCTTCTCCCCCAGAAATCCTGCCTGGGGCCCAAGGTGTCCCTTCACCCATGAGTTCAGGACAGTCAGTCAGGACGATAGATCAAAGGTCCAGAGGGAGGAAAAGAAATGATCCTTGCTCCTAGGAAGCTCCAATGAGGACTGATGGAAAGTATGCACACGCACAGGCACACGCGCGCGCGCGCGCGCGCACACACACACACACACACACACACACACACACGCCAGTTCAAACAAGAAATCCCACAGAAGCAAGCCCAGACCCCAGAGCCTGCAGGGCAACAGGCCTCCGAGTGGGCTGCTGACGCAAAGGCAGGGGCTGAGCCTGGTGAGGCAATGGGAGAAAAGTCTTCAAGGAAGTGGCATGCAGTGAGAAAAAAAAAAATGCCTGAAGCCGCCCCGGCTACCAGGAAGGCAGGTGCTACACATGGCCAGGGCCAGAGCATGCCAGACAGAGCGTGCCCTATGCCGGAAGTGGGGTGGAGCACTTTCCGGGAGGTGTCCAAGATGATCCCAGTTGGGATGTGTGAGGGGCAGCAGTGGGAGACAGGGCAGCTAGGCAGAAGGGATCCATAAGTCAAGGCATTTATCTGGGGGAGAAACCCACTTGCACCCAGCCCCTGCCATGTAGCAAATGTAAATTAAATGATGTTTGAATGCGGGAAAACAGAGAGGGAGGGAGGGAATGGATCCCTTAGCCGGATAATCCTTGTCCTTGAGGGAGGGAAGGAGGAAATTAAACCATTATCAATGAGGATTTATTTTTTGCTGAATGACTTTACTGGATAAGCTGTTTGGAGCTTGTAAAGATTAAACCCTTTAAAAGAGACAGAAGGGAGAATTCTGGAGAGATGAGTTCAGGGAGCTTCTGTTTTGGTGTCAGTTCCCTGCAGCTTCTGAATAAACACCTCACCCTCCCCAGAGGATAACCATAACCCAGTGACAAGGGCTTCCCAGATGAGCCACCCCTTTCCTCCCACACAGGTAGCTGGGGGCCCAGGAAACTGCAAAGGTAGACAGGAATCCGAGCTTCCTAGGAGGACAGGCCGCAGATGTCCCCGGAGGCACCAGCTGTCAGAGCTGGTATGCATAGAGCGGCTCAGAATCCCCCTTCCCCAGCTCAGCTCTGGGGCCTTTTTACCCTCACACCTCCTTCCTCCCCAGTGCAGGGAAGGCCCTAGTCCTCCTGGGAGCCAGTCCTCAGCACTGCCTGGCCAGGACCCTCGTCCTCCTTTGATCTTCCTGGAGAAAGAATGTTCCCCATGAGCTCTGTTTATCTACTTTCAGAACAGGCTGGGTCAGGTAGAGGATGAGGGGTCAAGTCAAACTTGGGGTGTTCCTAAGGGCAAGAAGGCTGCACTGTGCCTTACAGAGAGCGTCCGTGGGTTAGGTAAGCTTCAATCAGGCATGAATTATAGTCCAACGCTCATGAGCCAACAATAGAGAGTAAACGAGGTGTCTTTACGTGGATACAGACAAAGCAAGGTTAGGTATTAATGAGTAGTCAGTATCTTCTGGGCCCCACCTCACAGGCTGTGCCTCATGCTCCTTCTGAACCACTCCTCATCCTCACTGCAGCTAGACCTGTGGGGACAGGGCAAACAAGAGTGTCTGAGGCAGGGGCAGGGTGTTCAGCCACCTGTCAGCTCCGGCTGGGAGAGGGCATCCCAACGATATAGTGTCCAGCTCCAGTGGCAAGAGCTAGTGAGGCCGTGCAGAGTTTGGCCTCAGCTTCAGGTCTCGCATGGATCCAGCTTTGCAACCTGGGAAACTCCTACGGAGCTGCCCTGAGGCTGGGGCTCCTCTGCCCGTGCCGTGACTTTAGACAATGTGCATGGCCAAGCAGGGCAGCAGGCGGAGAGAAGCTTGTGGCTGCAGAAACCTTCCTTTCTTTGGCCCCTCCTCACGTATTCCTATCCACTCCACACCGCCCTGCCCTAGATGCCTGTAACCCATCCCCACTGAAACCCTGACTTTGGCTGCCACCTCATCTTCCACTGCCTGTCTGGTACTCCTGCCTTCACCTTTCCCTAGAGATTCCTGGAGGAACCCCTCAGTCTCAGGACCCCAGGAGGAGCAGAGGGAGCCCCTCCTTCTCACAGCCTGAGCCCTGAGCCCTGGGGGAGGCTTGCTGGGGTGGCTTCAGGTGTGGTGGGTCCCCCAATGCCTCACTGACCCCTTTTGTCTAACCAGGTGTGACATGGGCCTCTGTGACCCAAGCTGAGGACTAACCCACCGCTCATAACACGGTTTCTACGGGAAAACCAAGTTGTGAATTTTGAATTATCAGCCCACTGAGGGTGGAAGTCCAAGATCTGTGGTGATTTGGGTGCTGATGCAAGCCAGAAGTCACAGCCCAGAGCCTGCAGCGGCTGCACTGCTGGGTCCCCAGTCCTCGATGGGCACCAGCCAACCTGCCCTCTCGACCCTCCACAGCAACTCAGGCCCCCACTCCATGGCTCCCCTGCACCATCCTCATGCCTGGTCAACTCTTGCTGCCAGTTGCTGTGAGACCCAGCTCACCACTGGGCAAACAGAGCTTGCAAAATGCAGCCCATGCTCACCATTCATGGATTCCATATGTACAAATTCACCTACCTGCGAAATTGTATCTGTAACCCCAAAATCAATACTGGCTGCACTTTTGGGGTCATTCTCGGACACACACAGAGTGGGGAAGAATGAGGGCTGCTCAACACGCACATTCCCAGCGGGGGTGGAACAAGGCCCGCTCAGCCTGCTGGCTTCAGCTCCCACAATGCAAACAAGTGTCCTTTTCGCAGGCTATTTGGTGCCACATTTTTCATGCTTTTGTGCTTTGTGTTGGTGATTTCACTGTTTAAAATGTCCCCTAAGCATATTCGAAGCAACCTGGATGAGACTGGAGACTATTATTCTAAGTGAAGTAACTCAGGAATGGAAAACCAAACATTGTCTGTTCTCACTCATAAGTGAGAGCTAAGCTATGAGGATGCAAAGGCATAAGAATGACACAATGGACTTTGGGGACTCAGGGAGAAAGAGTGGGAAGGGGGTGAGGGATAAAAGACTACAAACTGGGTTCAGTGTATGCTTCCCAGGTGATGAGTGCACCAAAATCTCACAAATCACCACTAAAGAACTGACTCATGTAACCAAATGCCACCTGTTCCCCAATAACCTATGAAAATAAAAAAAAAAATTAATGTCCCCCAAGCAGAGTGTTGGTGTTTGTTCCTAAGCACAAGAAGGCCGTGATGTCCCATACAGAGAAAACACGTGTATCAGACAAGCTTCTTTCAGACACAAGTTATGGTGCTGTTGACCATGAGTTCAGTGTCAATGAGTCAACCGTAGAGAGTAAAGAAGGTGTCTTTAATAGAAATACACATAAAACAAGGCTATGTACTGGTTGTAACCAGAGGCAGGCAGAAATCTAACCCTGTGTTTCCCCTAGGCGCAAAGGTTCAGTATCTGCTCATTCAGTGTTCACAGAGACTTTATAAAACATAACTACCATGAAGAATGAGAATTGACTCTACAGACACCTGTGCACCTGAGCCCACCTGGATTAGTGAGTCAGAATTCCCTGGGCTTAGGCCCTGGCACCTGAGTTTTTCAAAGTTTCACAGGCAATTCTGATGCTGGGCCTACATGGGAACCACCAAAGTCCAACCTCAGAACAGCCTGCGGGTCCCTGGACAGAGCCAGGTGACAACCTCAAAGCATAACTTTTAGCCACAACCGTGAGGTGGTGTGTAACACAGCGTTGTGTGGTGAGCATAGGGCTGACTCAGTGTTAGGGATCTGGAGACTCTGAGTGACCTCAGGCAAGTCATCTGACATTCAGAGCCTCAGTTTCCCCACCCACAACATGAGGATAACAACACCTGTGCACAGTGGGGTGTTTGCATAGGGGAGACTCAGACATGTCTTATGGGCTGGGACCCCAGGAGTACACTGGTGTGAGAGACTAAGGATGAGAAATAACTCATCCCAAGAGAAAGACTAGAGGTCTTGGTCTGAGAGTGATGAGCACCCCGCTGGGGAGGTCCAGGAGGAGGGACAGCTTGGAGGACCGCTTGGTGCTGGTCACTCAGGTCAGCCTCTAGCCTAGTCCTTGAAGGCTTGAGCCTAAGGAGACTACAGGGAAGGCTGCTCGCCCAAGAATCTTGGTGAGACCCAGGGAGCACACGGCCATGCAGCGTCAGAACTGACATGTGGCCCAGGGCAGATGCACGTGTCTCCCCTCCAAGGAGGGCGCCATGCACCACGGCAGTCCGGGACACTCTGTGGGGGAGGAAATCTTCACAGGCAGCATCCCTCCCTCTACCTGTGATGTAGCACCTTCTCGAGCTTTGGAGGCACTGAGGGCAGCTCCTGCAGATATCACCCCAGATCGCTGGAGTTGGGCAGGTGAGGAGTGAGCTCAGGTAGGATGCTTGCTGGGTCAAGCCCAAAAGGGAGGCCCAGAGGCCCTGCTCAGAGGCTGGGACAAGTGCAAAGCCTGAGAAAGACTGTAGTTCCTGTTTATGTGACCGGTTTCTACCCTAGACATGTATGGCTGGGGAGTGGGGGTCAGAATCAGCCACCTGTCAGCCCTGAGTGGCTGATTTCCACCTGATACTTTTAATAGCTGTGCTGATCACTATCGAAGAGTTTTAAAATGGTGCAGAGAGAGCCAAACACAGGAGCATTTTTTATCAGTCCTTTCAGACACAGCCCTGGCAGAAAAGGCAGAATTGACAGCAGGCTCTGAACTCCCACTGGTGGGCCTGGGTCCCACTGCCTCCCTCTACAAACCAGAACCAGGTGAGACCTATGGGTCTGCACAGCACTGACAAATTCCCCCAGTGAGCTAGTCCTGGCAGAAGAGGTGTGCCCGGGGCATCACGGTTCTCTCAGAAGCCTGATCTGTGCTGTATGCCAGCCATTGTTTACCCTCCCGGCCTGCCTTTCTGTCAACACTTATATTTTGCACAATGTTTCTTTGTTTGCTTTGGGTTGAGAAACTGTATTTTTTTCTTATTCACAATAGCCAAGATAGGGAAACAACCCAAATGTCCATCAACAGATGAATAGATAAAGAAAATGTGACAAATACATACAATGGAATATTATTCAGCCTTAAAAAAGAAGGAAATCCTGCCAATTGCAACAGCATGAGGAACCAAGAGGGTTTTATACTAAGTGAAAAAAGCCAGACACGGAACGACAAATACTGCATGATTCCACTTAAATGGGTATCTAAAATAGTCAGACTCATAGAAGCAGAGAATAGAAGGGCAGTTTCCAGGGGCTGGGGGAAGGGGAAATGGAGAAATGTTGCTCAATGGGTATAAAGTTTAGTTATGCGAGATGAGTAAGTTCTGGAGATGTGCTGTACAACATGGTGCCTGTAGATAACGATACAGAATTGCACCCTTTAAAATATGTTGAGAGGATAGATCTCATGTTTAGTGTTCCTACTACCAAAAAAACAAACCAAAACACAAAAGAACACAAGGAAATTTTTGGAGGCGATAGAGATGTTTAGTACCTAAATTTTGGTGATGGTATCACAGGTGTATGCATATGTCCAAACTCATCAAGATGTACTCTTTATATGTATGTGATTTTTTTGTGTATCTATTATACCTCAGTAAAGCTTTATAAATGATCAAAACAAAACTGTGTTCCCCCCACACACACCACCCCAATACAAACACAGAAGAGCTAGGCAAAAGGAAACTCTATAATGGCAGGGAACTGCTCTGATCCTGCCTGGTGGGCCACCTGCTTTGTGGAAGTTTTCACATCTAGTGTTCATTATTCTTTCTTCTGAGACTGTCTTCCTAGCCCCTCCCCTCCTCCCCCTCAGCCACACCCCCATCAGCCAGAGCTGCTCAGTCAGTCCTCGAGGAGGGCCATACATGTGTTCAGGGCTCCCAGCACTTCCTGCCACATAGCAGGTCCTCTGTGGATGTTGGGTTCCTTGTCTTTTCTTTTCTTTCTTGGGTTCACCTTGCAAAGGAGAACCAGTCAAAGACTCAGTCAAGTTACTTCAAGGAAAACAGATTTTCTCCATGAGAAAGACACTAATGGGGAAGGAAACAGAAACCCACGGCATCTGAGGCAGCAACCTTCTCTGTACCCTCTCCCAACGGCCCCAAGGTCTCCCACTCGAGTTTCTCTCCTCCCTCGGCCCAGCTTCTCCATCAGTTCTGCTCACACTTGGTGAGGGAGGGTGGGCATGGAGAAGGCCATGGCCTCTCCTCCTGGGAGCATTTTGAGACCAGGCCAGGCCACAGCTAAGGTGCAGATCAGCAGGGAGGCAGAGAGGGAGGCGTGTGCTAAGATGACTGGAACTGAGATGGCACCTGTCCTTTCTTCCTGAGATGTGGAGGCCCGCAGAGAGAAGAGCTGAGAACAGAATTACTGGCCTCTCCAAGGATAAGCCAGCCCTTCTTTCTCAGAGTAGAGCAGTTACTAACCACCGAGGGGTTAGACAACTGCTTTTGATCTCCCCAGGGCTCAGAAGGGCACAAAAGGCCCCCCACAGTCCAGGAAACTCATGTTAGGGGTTGGGACCCCTTAACACTAATGTCAGAGATGCTAAGAAGGTATCATGGAGGAAGCACTACCACCCCAAGGACGAGGCAGCAAAGGGGTGCATTTGGAATGATTAAAACTTAGAGACAGGAGCACCTTGTGGGGCTGGAACCAGACATCTGGTGAGGTGGGGGGTGCCTGCCGGCTGGTGTTGGCCTCTGAATTAGGGGTGAAGTTAGTTCTACAAGTGTTAGAAAGATTGTAAACTGAATTTAGCTGCTGCTATGGTAAGGAACTGCTGCTGCCGGGGTGAAGAAGTACTACCGGAGCCGCTTACAAGAACAGAAGTAAACAAGAAAAAGAGGGCTTCCCTCCAGCTTTCCAGTGTCCTTCTAGCACCCCCTACTGGCTGAATCCGATAGGAAGCAGCTGCCAAAGCCAAAAGTGGTTTGCCAAGTCCCAGCCCTACCATCAAAGAAGAGAGAATAGAAGAAGGACTAGAGTGACCAGGAGCTGAAGCCTGAGCCTGCTCTCATGCACACATGTGTGCACGCACACTTGCCTATGCTCACAGGTATACACCTACACATGGACCACAAGCGCCCTCTCCACAGATTTGATTGTGGGTCCTACGCTTTGGGTGTCACGCAAAGTCAGCAAACCTCAAGGCCTTGACTACAGAGACTTTTCTGATTCTGAAACTCCGGCCTCAAACATCACCCATCATCGTCCCATCCCCAAACAGCCACCAGTTTGAGTCCTTTCTGTAAAAAGGAAGCTCAGAGTTCTCCATCTCTGGAGAGATACCTGGGCTTTCAGGGAGAAAATGTCAACAGCAGCCACCCCATGTCTCCTGGAGGGGACTCCAGTAGAGGCCCAGGGAAAAGCAAGCTCTGCACCAAACTGCCCAGTGTGTAGTGAACACAACAGAGCTCATTTACCAACAGGAGGCACACACTAAACACATTCTTCTGGTCTCTGCTTAATCCCAGCTCATTCTGTCTTATTAGGTCCCTCTGCTCTCCTATTGTTTTCCACCACTGTGCATTGCTGTGTCGTTCAGAGCATGTGTCACAGTGTGCTTTTTTTTTTTCCAAAATGTGCTGTCTGTCTATCTCCTCCTCTAGATTGCCAACTCACAAGAGTGGGGCCATGCCAGCTTCTTCCACCCCTGCAGACTCAGGGCCTGGCACATCATAAGTCTCAAGTGTTTGTCAAATGAATCTATTAAAAAATAGAAAATGGCTCTAGAGGCATTGAGATAAATGGACAGGTGATGGATCTGTAGATTGGGGTGTATGCGACATAACGAACTCTGAGGAATGTTGTGGAAGGCAATTGCTCTCCTGTCCTACAAACCATCTCCAGATAAAGAGGACAGCAGGCAGGATGACTGCTCTGCCATCATGGTGTTTCTGCTGTGCTTGTGACTCTGTTCAGCCCTGTACATCCATGGAGATTAGGGCCTGAACCCAGGCTTCTCCCCTCATCCCAACTTCACCTCTGCTTCTTGGAAGGCATGGGGCTCATTGAGTGTTATAGCTGGTGGGACCCTATAGATTACAAAGGTGGCTCCACATCACCATCACCTGGGGAACATTTAAAAACATCAGTGTCTGGACACTACCACTAGTTTCCGATTCTTTGAGTTCCACAGTTCAGTGTAGCATAGTGGATGCCCAGAAACATGAACTCAAGTCCTAACTCTGCCACATACTGTATGATCTTGGCCAAGTTACTTGACTTCTCTCTGCCTCGATTTCTGGAGATGACAGCAGTATCAATCTCACAGGCTTGTTGTGAGGATCAAAGTCAACAATGTATGTGAAGCTCTTGGTGCAATGTCTGGCTCAGAGTAAATACTGAATAAAATGTAGCTATTATTGAAATTATTATCTCACAGCTACTTAGCGGCTGGCGTGGGATGAGCCTCCTGATCCTGGATCCAGTGTTCTTTCCAACACGTCACTCTGAATGTGCACACAGCCTGAGGTCAGACTCGGCAAGGCAAACATATAGTTGCTCTCCCTGGGACCCTTTAATTAAACCGTATGGAACAGAGAACTGCCCCTGAGAACCAACAGCAGATCTGACCCCTGGGAAGCAGAGAGCTGGAGAACACAGGAGTTCGGCAGTGCAGCTTTCAGGTCCTTTGGGAAGCCATTTGGCTGCTTCTGTTAGCATTTCATTATGGAAATACTGGGAACCAAAAATAGAAGTTCTTGAGGGAGCTTAATCCTCTGGGCTTTACAAAACAGCTGCTGGAGAGTTCCCGGAATTGACCACCAGGGGGCACTGTCGTCCCATGCAGGCAGCTGCTGGTGGGTCGGACCAGGACAGAAGTGTCCAAGAAAAAACCAACACCCTTCAGCAAGCTCCTACCCCAAGCCTGCCTTGCTGGGGACTCTGTGGCTGGGATCCCTGTGGATCTCCACAGCTCCTGGTCCTAGAGAAACCACTTTGCAACTCAGCCCACTGCTCTCCTCTTTGGGGACCCTTAAGAGCAGAGCAGGTTCCTGCATTTATTTTAATCGATCCTTCCTCCCACCTCACCCCAAAACCAGGACCTAGGGCAGTGCTGGACATATAATAAGCAAGAAATATGCATCTCCTTTGTTGATTAATGGATATGTGAAATCAGGTGCAATTGTTAAATTGTGGGACGTATCAAATAACAAAATTTCAATAAATTGAGCTGTAAAGGTCTAGTTTGCCTTTATTAGCAATTCATGAACTGGGCAGTATCCAGTCTACAAAATAAAAAGGAACTCCCATGAGCTGAGCTAAGGGCTGAGCTTATAGGCAGAAAAGGCTGAAGAAAGCCAAAACAAGAAATAAGATGCAGATTGGCCGTTTCAAAGTTACTTTCCTTATTGAGGATCTTGTTAGCCTAATGGGATATGACTATCAACTCTCTCCTGATTTCTCAGAAGCTCAGATCCAAGTAAACAGCTTCGTTTTTGGTTTCGTGGTGCGGAACCTTAGTGTGAGTGACTCCATTTTGGATGGGTCTGTTGGACCCTAATGCAGGAGGTCAGTCCAAATAATGGCCTCCCATACATTTTGTTTAACAGAAGGAAACTGCTTGATCTTTGAAGGAATGGCAGAGAGAGTGCAGTGGTGTGAATCAGACAGAGGTTATGAGTGACAGTTAAGGGGAGGGTCATGGATAAACGGGAAAGGGGAAGAAGTGAGAGGGCTCAGGCAGGAAGGCAACAGATGTATTTCAGGGATCCTGAGTAGTAAGAGATTCCTCAATGTGGAGGCCAAATCCAGAAATATGGGGGAGATTAGACAAGGGAGTCCCAGCCACAGCTCACATGGCCTCCAGGTGGGCATCACCGGCCACCACAGCCACTATGACCTCTCCTATCTTTGGGGTGGCTTGCAGCTGCCACCAGCAGGCTCTGAGCTCCCACAGGTGGGCCTGGGTCCCACGACCTCCCTCTGGGTGATGCCATGGGGCTTAGTACCCTGAGCCTGTATCACACATCCTTAGTCCGAGAGAGCCTCTCTCAAATGACAGCAGGTCTTGTTCACCACAGAATTCTGTGAAGACTAGAGCACAAGAAATACTTGTTAACTAAAGGATTAAACTATGTGTTAAAAAAAAAAAAAAAAAAAAAAAGCAAAACAAGGCCAGGTGTAGTGGCACATGCCTACAATCCCAGCACTTTGGCAGGCCGAGGCAGGAGGATTACTTGAGATCAGGAGTTCAAGACCACCCTGGCCAACATAGTGAAACTCTGTCTTTACTAAAAGTAAAAAAATTAGCCGGGTGTGGTGGCAGGTGCCTGTAATCCCAGCTACTTGGGAGGCTGAGGCAGGAGAATCACTTGAACCCAGGAGGCAGAGGTTGCAGTTTGCACCATTGCACTCCAGCCTGGGAGACAGAGAGACAGACAGACACACACATACACACACACACACACACAGAAGTAGAGTCTCTCTCCACAGGACCTCCAGGTACCTTCCCTGGCTATGATTTTAGAGTCTCTGCCACCAGCTCGGCATGCCACATCCTAATTCCAATGGCCCTGGGGTGGAGCTCCCTGGAAGGCTCGATCTTGAAGCACAACAGGGCAGAATGGAAAGTGGCCAGGCTGGAAGGAAGACTTGCCTTGGAATCTCAGCTCCAGCACCTCTCAGTTGTCAGAGGTGTAGTTTCCCTTGCAAGTTACTTATGCTTCCTAAGACCCAACCAAATGTTAGTACCACCTTGAAGAGAATAAATTAAGCCGCAAACATGGCATGCCAGCACCTGGCTCATGCTAGCCCAGTGCCGCTATTGCAATGACCATCAGCACCGACTTGGACAAGAGGCAGGGGCAGGGGCAGTGAGGCAGGAAGTAGGCTTCAGCTGGGAGAGGCAAGGACAGGGTAGAGGTAACTGCAGCCAAGGGGGCGGGGGGACAGCAGGGGAGCAAAAGCCTGGCTCACACACAGGGAAAAGACAGCAGCAGCCTGGCTGATCAGGCTACTCTGAAATAGCTGCACCCACCAGCCACCCACTGGAGACCTTAGGCTTCCGCTCCCTGACACCTCAGGGTCACACTCGCTCCAGGTTCTGCCTCCAGCCCCGCTTAGTGTCTCAGCTGCTGGATTTTCCCTCTCTCAGGATCTCCTAGAGCCTGGCTTCCTGTGGACGGTTTGCAGCCAGCTTGGCAATGCCTTCCCAGCACCCTCCCAGCCCGTGCTCCCAACTGTCACCCCAAGGGTTTAGCATGCAGAAGCCCCATGCCCTCTAATCATCCCAGAGAGGAGGTAGTGGTGACAAGATCTGAGCCTTGGGCAGCACCTACACTAAACTTTGGTGGAGGGGTAAACTTGCAAGAGCTAGGCCATGAGCCCGGCTGGAGGGCAGGGAAGCTGAAGACCTGGGCAGAGACCAAACTGTCGTGAAGGGGCTTGGTCAGCCCAGCACAAGGGGTCCACACATGCACACACGATATTAGACCCTGGCAGCAAGGCTGAGTCTCCCGCTGGCAGCTTCTGAAGTCCTCTGACTACCCAGATAAGGCACTGGACAGGGCAGGGCAGCCAGAAGAGGCCCTTGGTGACCCTACAGAGAGGGCGCAGGGGCAGCAGCCCAGGGACTGACGGGGCGGATGGTCTGGGCTGATGGGGCAGCTCCTCCAGCCCATTATTTTCCTTTGGGCTTCAGAGCAGGTGGTCTCCAGGAAGCCATGAGACTAGGAGAGGCAGCTCAGAGGGCACGCTGGCCAGCCAAGATTTGGAGAGTGAGCAGTGAGGGCGGCGTTTGTTTTCCTCCCAGCCTCGAGGCTTTCCTGGACCGCCCACCCTAGTTACCATTTGCTGTGGTGGTTGCCAGGGGAACCACTTACTATTTTTATACATTCCCCAGATGATGAAGCTGCAGAAATGCTCAGGCGAAGTTGGTCCAGGAGTAATCCTGGAAGCGATGCCCAGGCAGGCTCTGCTGGAAACTTGGCTGGAGGGTGGGGAGCCGCTCTGATGCTTCAGGAATCAGATGCACACCCCTGAGTAAGGGGTGAAAGAGGGCTGCAAGGAAGGCATGTGCCCTGGGTGAGGGAGCACCAATCCATCGCCTCATTCATTCATTCACCACGTGTCCATTTGCCAATGCATTCATTTTTATCTCACATCAAAGGTGCTGGGCTTGTGCTACGTGATACAGTTGTGAATGGGGCAAGTGCGTCCCCGCCTGGTGGGGAGGAAAACACAAAGTAAATACAATTACAGTTCAGTGAGATCTGATACCGCAGGGGCAAGTCAGGTACTGTGTGCCCACCTTGGCAGGGAGAGGTCTGAGAAAGCTTCCTTGAGGAAGTAATATCTAAGCCAAGATAGGGTTTTACATGCAATGTGGGCAAGTAGGAAGAACATTCCAGGCAGAAGAACAACAGCATGTGCAAAGGCCCAGGGGAGACTGTGAATACCGCACCTTCTGGAACAAAAGTCACTTCACTTCTGGAGTCAGGACTAGGGCCCAACCCAGTGGGAAGTGGAAAGCTGTAGAGACCCAAACCATCAGGGGGTTGGGGGTGAGACAAACTGCACCACAGTGGTACACCCAGAACACCAGCTATTAGGCCTCTGGCAGCAAGACTGCAGTCTGGGCAAGGCCCCTGGGAGAGAGGAGCAGGCTTTCCCACTGCCCTTGGGACTCTGGGAGAATCTATAGGGCACCTGGGAAACCTGAGACTCTGAGGCTGTACGAGGGAGTCTTCCATCGGAGGAGCTGAGTTAATGCTCTCAGTTCTGGGCTGGGCGGGATGTGTCCAGGGATGAGGAAGACAGAGGGCACTGTAGCTGCTTATCCGGACTTCTTCCAAACTCCAGCCTGTTGTCAAGACCCTGGACACGTGTCTAAATGCTTTCTGCTCACCTATGTCCCTGCACCTGCTGGGAAGTCCAAGATGCTCATCAGTGCAAGAGGTGGGAGGTGGGAGGTAGGATGGAGTAGAAGAGGAAGAAAGAGAGAGAAGCCGAACATCCCACAGGTGTCAGGAGCCTGCTGGGCATGTTACACACACAACTGCATCAAATTCTAGCATCAGCAAGGGAAATGAGTATTTTGGCCCTCATTGTAAAGATTGGGAAACTGAGGCTCAGAGAAGCTAAATTACTTCTCCATGATCATACAGGTGCTAAGTGATGAAACCAGGATTCAAAGGCAGATCAGTCTGACTCTAAAACCTGTCTCTGTCCACAAGGCAAATGTGATTTACTGCATGCACACCTGCTATTTGACCTCAGCACTGCAGATTCAAAGATTAGATACAGTCTCTTTTGTGAGAATCAAAGGAGATAATGTGGGAAGTAACCATGGGGGATTGTATTTTCCCAAAATGGCCCCATGCTCCCTGACCTTAGGTGAGACTTTGTGCTTGCCTGCCTTGGTGAACAGAAATGATGCTGCCTGACTTCAGAGGCTGAGGAGGGACAGTCCTGCCACCATGCTGTGAGAAGTTACCCATGGAGAGGAGTAGAGCTTCTGGCAGCCAGCACCACTCGCCAGAAATGTGAGTGAGCCCTCATCATTCCATGTGACACCCGCCACAGACATCAGGGGCAGAAAGGCAATGCCCACTGCACCCTCTCAGTCCCCGGCACACAAAATCTCTGAGCATCATGAGCGGCTCCATCCTGAGTGATGTCGTCATAGTGATGCCACTAAGTTCTAGGGCAACTGGTTACACAGCTGTCGTAGCTAGAATGAGAACTTTGTAAGCTGTAAAGTACTATGCATGTGTAAAATGTTATTAGTAAATCTGAGTTTGGCACAACAGGATGTGTCGGTATCTGAGGAAGTAAACTTGTGTTTCAGGCTGAGTTCTTCCCAAAAGCAGAAACTGCAACAAAGGTTTGCATGCAGGAACACACATCTAGAAAGTGATCCATGGGCTCAGGCATCAGGGACTGGGAAGAATGAAACTGGGAAGGAGGCTTGGCCAGTCTATGGCTGTGTTGTTAAGCTGACACCACTGTGGGCAGCTGAGGCTCAATATCACTGGGGGCCTTCTGAAGAAGCTGTAGAGTGAGCCTCAGGGCTGTGGGGAGAATGTGTCTACTCATCCCCTATCAGCTGCAGGTTGCCCCGAGAGGATGTTAATTCCTTGCACCTGCCGGTTTGCAGCTGTCCCAGAACAGCTTAAGCAGCTCTGCCTGGCAGAGAAGCCCAGGCAAGAAAGCTAAATCAGGCACTGAGAGATTACAGCTGGGCTGACAGGCTGTGAAATGGAGCATAAAAGATGACCGATACAACATGGCATTAAATAATCCTCCAGGCAATGATTGCATTTGATGTCCTGGACAGAGGCCCACAGGGCTAACTTCTGCCTGGTCGGTCACTTTGCCCACTGGCTTGCTCAGGCCTCTCCAGTCAAGCCTGTGGAGTTCCAGGCCTGCTTGAGCAAGGCCCTAGTGTGGCCCTAGTGTGCTGGAAGCCACCATCCATCAGAAGGCCAGCTGCATTCTCTGGGCCCTGCAGGTGATCTCTGGTCATCACAGTGATCCAGGGGAGGGCCTGGAACCAGGGCACTCATTGCCTCTCAGGGGCCAGGTTCCAGCCATGGATTTCCAGCTTCAGCCCCTCACAGCAGCATCTCAGGAGGCTGGCGGTGCCCAGTGGACCATGCTTTTTGGAGATTGGGGCATGAAAAGCAGGCTTCTGAAGGAAGCCAATGTAGAGGATGAGTTTGCTTTGTTCAGGCCCTTGGGTAGTGGTGGTGAGGAAACCCCCTGGAGCAGATGCCTAAGGTATGGGGTGAGCATCTTGGGTCCAGGATAGGGCTGGGGCCTGGGCCAGACTTTAGGCCAGGCGACCTCTGCACAGCCTCCACCTCTAGGGACCTGGTCTGCTGGTCAGACCCCTCTGCCCTGCTCTTCTTTGGGACAATCAACTCCATCACTTACCCTCTGGGGCATTTAATTCTTAGCCGTCTTTTTTGTTTGTTTGTTTGTTTGTTTGTTTGTTTGAGAGAATCTCGTCTGTCACCCAGGCTGGAGTGCAGTGGTACGATCTCAGCTCACTGCAACCTCCGGCTCCCAGGTTCAAGTGATTCTCATGCCTCAGCCTCCCGAGTAGCTAGGATTACAGGCACCTGCCACCATGCCCAGCTAATTTTTCTATTTTTTAGTAGAGACGGGGTTTTGTCATGTTGGCCAGGCTGGTCTCGAACTCCTGACCTCAGGTGATCCGCCTGCCTCAGCCTCCCAAAGTGCTGGGATTACAGGCGTGAGCCACTGTGCCTGGCCCTTAGCAGTCTTATTTCAATAGTTTGAAATACAGAAGCAGGCTCCACACAGCAAAACCTTGTTTCCTTTTCTCCCATTACATGGCATGGGGGCTGACCCCCAGCCATCTGCAAGGGGGGAAGGCTCTGTGCCCCAGGCCCCAGGAGCTCAGAGAGGGAAGTGTACTGATCAGCATTCTGGGGTGCAAGGAAACACGTTTCCTCTGAGAGGGCAGGGAGGGGCTATACCTCAGCAGAAGGAATTTAAATGTGGAGAACTTCACAAATTACACCAATATCAACAACACTCCATGCACTGAGCACCTTCTGCAGACCAGGCATTGAGCTTCCTGTTGGAGATGTTGAATTGGAACTTGTAGGGACTGGCAAAAACCCAGCCCCCTGCGCTCTCCCAACGTCCTCCCTCCTTCTTCATCCCAGGGTGGCATGAAGCCCTAGAGCCCCACAGCTGGGAGGAGGCCTTGACTCCGCTGCTGGTGCCGGTCAGTCCTCAGGTTTGCCCAGGACAGAGGGGTTTTGTTTTCCGGGATGCAGGACTTTCAGTGCTAAAACCGGGAAAGTCCCAGGCAAATCAAAGTTTGGTCACTGTATGTTGGCCAGGCTGGTCTCAAACTCCTGACCTCAGCTGATCCGTCCACCTCAGCCTCCCAAAGTGCTGGGATTACAGGCGTGAGCCACCACACCTGGCCAATTTTTTGTACAGACAGGGTCTCCCTCTGTTGCCCAGACTGGCCTCAAACACCTGGGCCCAAGTGATCCTCCCACCTCGGCCTCCCAAAGTGCTGAGATTACAGGCATGAGCCACGGTGCCCAGCACTTTTTTCTTTTGAACTATGACTCTCACATGATTTTCACTTCCACAGGTGGGGGTCCTCTGAGATAGTTTGTGTGTTATCTCCACAGGGTGATAGGCTGTGTTCTGGAAGGATGTTCAGGACTTGAATTTCAGTTTTCAGTCACTCTCACTGGATTCCCAAACTAGCCTAGTTTGGGACAAGAGATTACGAAACACTCCTTAGAAACACTAACTCATCTCAACTAAAATAGAGAGTGAATGAACCTGGTATGCTAAAGTGTTAATAATGACAAAATGAAAAATATAAAATAACACAAAATAATGAGGCAATCTCGATGGAATGGGCACATGTATCTGTGTGCCTCATTTTATGCAATGTAGGTATTTCAAAGAAGTTGTGTGTGAAATCAATTTCTGTGATCTGAATACTCTAAACCGGCCAAAGAAGCCTTGTTATTTAAAGAAATTCTGTAAGCAAATCTTTTTAACTGAAAAAGTAAGGAAACTCCTGTCTCAGAAATCATTTAGTATATTTTGCTTAAAGTGAAGCACACTTGTATTAAACTAAGGAAAAAAAAAATCAGTGAATCACGTTCTACCGTTTACATTATGTATAATTTCCAATGAGATAAGATAATGAAAAGTGAAAAAAAAAAAAAAAGAAAGAAAGTTTGGTCACTGTAGGAGAGTGTGCTGGGCCCATAAGATGCCCCTGTTTGAAGGAGACAGGCTCACAAACAGGCAATCACAGCAAAGCAGGTGAGTCTAGGCTAAGGGGATCACACAGGAGGGGGAAGGCTTCCTGGTACAGGTGCACCTAGGCTGAGTCTTAAAAGGAGGATATGAGCCTTCAGAGAAAAAGAAAAACATTATAAATAGACATAGGAGCAGGGGGCACATGACGCAGGGACTTCAGGCCTCCCAGGGTCTGTGCGAGACTTTTAGGCCCTGCAGACCTCAATGATGCAGAATCCTCAGGCCGGCCTGTGCCTCCTCCCCTGGGGTTGCACCCACCCTTTCTAGAGCCCACACAGGCTGCCGATTTCTTGCACACTGTCCTGGCTGGCTGGCAGCTTTTGATGTGCACTCAGGGAACTGGGCAGGGTAATCCTGGGAGGGGTGGTGAGCCTGAGACCATGAGGGAAAACTGCCTTCATGGGGGCAAAGGTGAGGAGTGGGGCAAACAGTGGTGTTGGGAAGTTCCCAGAGCCTGAATTTGGAGACCTTGATTCACTGCAGAAATCTGTGTCTAAGGAGTGGAATTCTACCCACCCTCCCACCCCACATTACATAGTGATGTAGGGAGTGGTGGGCACATAAGTAAAAGAAGTCATCTCTCGACTATTCCCAAGGACTTGGACACCATTTGTATTTATTTGTACATCCTGTTTTGGGGCAAAATGTCCGCTACAGACAACCTTGGCTGCATAAGCAACTTCTAGAATTCTAGGCCAAAAAGTCCTATCTGATAAGATCCAAGCGCGTTACTCTTGGATGGCCATCAAGCTCCCATCTTCTTCAGTGCAACCCAGAGGTTTACCATTAGACTCCCCAGCCCTGGAACACATTAAAGGTCAAACCTTGCCCTCAAAAAGGATCTGAGTTGTCCTTGCGATGACTGATAAGGCAATAAGGTGGTGTCTCAAAGTGTGTTTGGGCCTGTTTGTATCACAACTTCCTGAGCAGCTCACTACAAGCACTGTTCCAGGCCATGTTCTAGAAATACTGAATCCTAAGCGCTAGGAGGTGGGGCCCAGGAGTCAACATTTTGAACAATCACCTTAACAGATTATTCTGCTTAATGTGAAAATTCTCTCTTGGGGGCAGTTGCTATTTATTTTAATAAAATACAAGTTTTATGTCAAGGAAATTCATCTCCACTGTAAAATGTCCAGGATCCATCTAACACAGTATTTATCAGCCTCAGTATGGGTGAAATTTCGGACCGGATGATGCTTTGTCAGGTGCATTACAGAATGTTGACCAGCATCCCTGGCCTCGAGATGCCAGTAGCATCCTGCAGTCATGACAGACAAAAATTAAAAAAAAAAAAATGTTGCCAGACATCACCCAATGTCCCCAGAGGGAAAAATCTGCCCACTCTAACAAAAGGGGCTTCCTCTTAAAATCTGACCTCAGTCCAGCATAAGGAATATGCCTCCCGTTCTTGGAATGACCTCCACCAGGCTCTGCCCACACTGACCCCGGCCCTCCTCACCAATCTCCAGCTGCACGTGCACTGAAGCCAGTTCCCACCCTCACTCCAGCCGGGTTTCCTGGCTCCCTTCCCATCGCCCACCCTCCCACCTCACCACTCTCTTTTCCTGCCCATTGCCTAAATGCCCCACCATCCGGCCCCGCAGGACTATGGAAGAACAACACAGCCCACCCGCTTATGTGGGCTCCAAGGAAATGGCCTCTGGGGAAGAATTCTCCTTTTGTAAAAATGGGACCTTTATTTTTGTTTTGATTATAAAGTGAACATGGTCATGGCTGAAAATCTGTCAAGCACAGAAAAGTATAAAGTAAAGGTCGCTCAAAATTCCACTGCCCAGCCAGCTGATACTGACATCTAGGAGGTGTCCCACTTTGGCTCTTATTGATCCCTGGTGTGCAGACAGGGGTCCCCAGGTAGACAGAACCCCTGACCAAGGACAACAGGAGGCATTTGCTCTTCCAGGGTAAGCATCTGTTTTATTCAGATCTGGGTGGCTCAGGGCCTCCAGGCAGCCAGTTTTGCAGGAGATTCAGCACCTAGTGTCTTCCTGCCTCACGCTCCCAAGAACCTGCTCCTGCAGGGGGAACATCAGAACTCATCCTTGATGTCAAAATGGGGCTGGTCTTCAGGCTTGAAGTCCAGGTTAGGGCTGCCATCCTCATTGAGAATTCTCCGGGCAGTGTAGCCGACGATGGGGTATTTGGCTTTGTACACTTTGGTGAAGACCTCATCCAGGGCCTCCAGTTCCTTGGCCGTGAGACCCGTCTTGGGGAGAAAAGCCCAAGAAAGACAGGAGATGGGGTTAAGTGGATAGTGTTTGGCACTGGCCTTTCTCCATCCCTGCCTTGCCTCCCACATCCCTAATGCAAGAGAAAAGATATCTCAACAAACCAAATAATGGACAAATGGCTTAAGAGACACTGCTGTGGGGGGGGCGTGGGGGTGGGAGGGTATAACATACGGGGAGCAATGCTTCATCACACTTTGTGGTTTGACTGATGGAAGGGATGAAAGACTCCAGAGAGCATGCTGGGGTGGGGCAGGGCATGCCCTATTGCATCTGCATCCCCTTCCTCCCCCCGATTAATCCTCCCTCTCTCTACACTGCTCCCATTATCCCTCTCTCTACACTCCTCCCATTATACATTTGGCACCTTCCCCTTTCTTAAGTTCTTCATTCATTTTTGTAATATTGTTACATTCATTTTGTTATGAGTTTGGCTCATCTCAATTTATCTCAATGTCAGTTTGATGTTGAGCACAGTTAGAGGAAATTCCAGCCTTACTGTTGGAATTATTTAGACCTTGAATAGGTTTAAAAAACAAATTTTTTTTTTTTTGAGATGGAGTCTCACTCTGTTGCCCAGGCTGGAGCACAGTGGCATGATCTCAACTCACTGTAACCTCCGCCCCCTGGATTCGAGCGATTCTCCTGCCTCAACCTCCCAAGTAGCTGGGATTACAGGTGTGCACCACCACACTCAGCTAATTTTTGTATTTTTAGTAGAGACGGGGTTTCTCCATGCTGGCCTGGCTAGTCTCAAACTCCTGACCTCAGGTGATCCACCTGCCTTTGCCTTCCAAAGTGCTGGGATTACAGGCATGATCCACCACTCCTGGCCTAAAAAATGTTTTAATGCTATCTTCTCCTTCACAGAAATATAAGCATAGAGGGAGACCTTTCTTCCCAACCCAGTTCATCCACAAAGCTACCAAGCATGGCCTGGGGAATGGGTCTCAGAGACTAATAGCAAGGCTGTAAGGGGCTGAGGGGATGGGGTGGCAGGTACAGACCATAAGGAGCATTAGGTTGCCAAAGCAGGTTGGGGCCAAATTGTGATGATCACTGAGTTGGATCACAAGTTCATAAGAGTTTGGACTTGACTCTAGGCAACAGACAGCCATGGAAGGTTTCTGAGTCGAGATGACATGGTAGGATAATCTATTTCAAGAAAATGCCTGGCCACCATACCAAGTGGACCGAAGGGTAAATAAGCTAATTAGGAAGGCTTGCTCTTGCCCAGATACACACACACACACACACACACACACACACACACACACACACACACACACGAAAAGAAAAAGAAAAAGAGAAAAAGGCATGGACAAGGAGGTAGAGGATTTTACAAAGGCTTATAATCTGGCTCACAGTGTCATGGGTGAGGTCTGCAGGATCCAAGGACATCTTGGCTACCCCTCTAGTGGAGTCCTTCCCCGTCAAGGCATTGTAGGGGGCTCCTCGTCCATAAAACTCTGTAGTGGGAAGGAAGGAAGAGACGTAAGCGTGGGTTTACATGCAGAGTAACCAGGAGCTTGCACGTGGGGGCGCTCCCAAGGCCCGCACCCAATCCTAAAAAAGACTCCACGCTCACGGAGAGGCCAAACAATGGCGATACAAAGTCCAGTAAGCCACCCCAGCCATCAGGTTGGATTCCACTTACTCTAAATGTGAAGTAAGTCACACATGCAGGCTGAGCAGGGATTTTCAGAAAATATAAAATGAGAATAGTACCCCTACAACCTCTTTTGTTGTTGTTTTTTTTTGACAGGGTCTCACTCTTGCCCAGGCTGGAGTGCAGTGGCACAATCTTGGCTCACTGCAATCTCCACCTCCCGGGTTCAAGCAATTCTCCCACCTCAGCCTCCAGAGTAGCTGGGACTACAGGCATGTGCCACCACCATGCCCAGCTAATTTTTGTATTTTTTTTTTTGAAGAGATGGGGTTTCACCATGTTGCCCAGGCTAGTCTTGAACTCCTGAGCTCACATGATCTGCCCACCTTGGCCTCCTAAAGCGCTGGGATTACAAGCATAAGCCACTGTGCCTAGCCCCCTTCTCGTTCTGTTTTTTCACCTAAGTGTTAATACTGAGAAAATAGTCTCTTAAAAATATTAGAGATGCAGGCTGGGTGCGGTGACTCACGCCTGTAATCCCAGCACTCTGAGAAGCCAAGATGGGCAGATCATTTGAGGTCAGGAGT
Organism: Homo sapiens; assembly: GCF_000001405.40. Taxonomy (NCBI): domain Eukaryota; kingdom Metazoa; phylum Chordata; class Mammalia; order Primates; family Hominidae; genus Homo; species Homo sapiens. The sequence continues at coordinate 212,443,611 of NC_000001.11, read as the reverse complement.
TCAAGATCAGCCTGGTTAACATGGTGAAACCCCATCTCTACTAAAAATACAAAAATCTGGGCATGGTGGCGTGCACCTGTAATTCCAGTTACTCAGGAGGCTGAGGCAGGAGAATCGTTTGAACCTGGCAGCTGGAGAAGGTCGCATCACTGCACTCTAACCTGGGCGACAGAGCGAGACTGTCTCCAAAAAAAAAATTAAAGATGCAAACAAGAAAAATGTTCCCTCTTCTTAAATGTTGGTGGAAGCCAAATCTATTCCCATTCAGCAGTGTTTGTTATCAAATAATAGATAAACCAATACAAAACTATCTCCAAGATATCATTAGTAGTTACATTAAATGGCACTAAAATGTTCTGTAATGTTCTATAATGCCAACTCTTTACTAAAGAACACTTCTCTCATTGCTTCAACTAGGGTAAATCATTAAGTTTGAATTTAATTCTACAGGCAATGGAAAGTCATGAAAGGCTTTTGAGTAGAAGCATGTCATTATCAGGGGAAAAAAGCCCCTGCTGAAGTAAAACACTGACAAAGATTAACTCAATCTGCTCATTTAAAATGGAAGGAAGGCCAGGTGTGGTGGCTCACACCTGTAATACTAGCACTTTGGGAGGCCGAAGCGGGTGGATCACAAGGTCAGAAGTTCAAGACCAGCCTTGCCAAGATGGTGAAACCCCGTCTCTACTAAAAATACAAAAAAATTAGCCAGCGGTGGTGGTGGTGCCTGTAATCCCAGCTACTCGGGAGGCTGAGGCAGAGAATTGCTTGAACCCAGAAGGCAGAGGTTGCAGTGAGCCAAGATCGTGCCACCGCACTCCAGCCTGGGTGACAGAGTGAAACTCCGTCTCAAAAAATAAAATAAAATAAAATGGAATGAAAAGGACTTGCCTAATGTTCCCTCCCTTTCCTCACACCTCCAAGTGCTGCTCACTCTGGCTTCTGTGCTCCCTGGAAATGAAGATTCAAAATGCCACACCACTTACCCTTTCCGGAGGTGACATCAAACACCACTCCCTTCACTGCCAAGTAGATGGGCTGATCTTCCTAGAAAGCAGGGGAGAAGCTGTGAAGAGGAAGGGAAGAGCCAGCTCTTCCAGTGCAACTTAGTAAAATCTTCTCCCATCACAAGCTGAGCAAAGAGCAGTGGGTCAAGTCCCAAAGGCTTTCTGTTAAGCCTGGTCCTTGGCGAGCTTGCCACCTGCCTGGGCAGCGTCATGCCCGCACACAGAAATTTGGAAAAGTCATAAAGTCTCATGACAAGAATGTGGCAATTCTCTCCTTTATAGAGAAAATCAGGGGCCAGGCACAGTGACTCACGCCTGTAATCCCAGCACTGTGGGAGGCCAAGGCGGGCGGATCACCTGAGGTCAGGGGTTCAAGACCAGCCTGGCCAATATGGTGAAACCCTATCTCTACTAAAAATACAAAAATTAGCCGGGCATGGTGGCACATGCCTGTAATCCCAGCTGCTCGCGAGTCTGAGGCTGGAGAATTGCTTGAACCCTGGAGGCAGAGGTCGTAGTGAACCAAGATCATGCCACTGCACCCCAGCCTGGGTGACACAGTGAGACTCCGTCTCAAAAAAAAGAAAATCAGGAACAGAAGCAACTTCATGGAGATGAAAATTCAAAAGAATAGTAAATGATGAATTACTTATCAGTCCAAATTTCCTTTCCTCTTCATCAATAGACATACACGGATGTGACTGATATGAGCAATCTATTTTATATTTTGCTTCTTACAGGTAACATTCCCTCATATAAACATTTCCACCAAAATGACTGTCATTTAAACAGCTCCATGGGGCCCCATCTTTTTTTTTGAGACAGAGTTTCACTCATGCTGCCCAGGCTGGAGTGCAATGGCGCAATGTCAGCTCACTGCAACCTCCACCTTCCGGGTTCATGTGATTCTCCTGACTCAGCCTCCTGAGTAGCTGGGATTACAGGCACCCGCCACCACGCCCCGCTAATTTTTTGTCTTTTTAGTAGAGATGGGGTTTCATCATGTTGGCCAGGCTGGTCTCGAACTCCTGACCTCAGGTGATCCACCCACCTAGGCCTCCCAAAGTGCTGGGATTACCGACGTGAGCCACCATGCCCGGCGTAGGGCCCCATCTTATATTAGTGATATTGTCTACCTATTTGTTTAGCTAGCTTTCTATTTTGGGTATTTGGGTGGTTTCCAATCCTTAGAACTATAAATGGCAGCATTATGAATACATGTTTCTATCAATTACTTTCTAATTTGGTGACTTATTTCATTGAGGCCTTTATTTAAAAATTTCTCTCCACCCAGTGAATGCATAGGAAAGTGCCCTATTTCAATATATGGAATTCCTGGGCCTAAGTATATGAAAACTTAATCACTGTTTATATTTTATTAGTTTGTCCTGTAACAACATTTATAGTGCTAGAGATATGTAAGCAATGCTGTTTCCCCACCGTTCTACTAACAATGGGCTTTACACTTTTTTTTGGCTCTATTAGCAGGCATAAAATGTTACCTCAGAATTTCCCCACCAAGAAAGAATTACACAAAAAAGGATGGCATGACTTTTCTAGCTTCCATCAAGTTGGGCTCAGGCTGGGACGATGGGTACAGTCCCAAGACACCCAAGACAAGATCTCTCCTTTGTCTCAGTGCCATCAGAGGTGCAGGGGCATCAGCCAGGTGGCTCACAGCCCAGGCGAGGGTGGGAGTCGCTGCTGGGTCCATAGGAATCTCAGGCTCTGCAAGCACCTGCTGCTTGGCCTTCTCTTTGGGGTGGGCCTTAGTGTTCTTGCGCTTGTGCAGCTTATGGTGAAGGGTTTTCATGATCCCATTTAACAGACAGAGGAGCTACTGAGGCTCAGAGAAGCTAAGCAACTTGCCCAAGGAAACACACCTCACTGCCTCATAACCACTCAGGCCTGCTTCTCTGCCTGTCATATGAGGGTAACGCCCACTTGCCTCGGGAATGCTGAGGAAAAGAGTGTACGTAATACCTAGCAGGCACGACACAGGAGCTCAGCAGAGGGCTGCCTTTTATTACTCCAAACCGGCTCCTAAAGACAGGCCCTAGAGGACTGCCATTGACTCTGTGGACACTTGCTCCACCTCATCTAACACGGGTCATTTGAAACGGCCTGGATTTCCAAGCCAGCAGACGGCATTTTTCTTTGTGATGATTTACCGCCTTTCCTTTACCAGGTTTCCTTATTCCTCAGCTTTGATTATTTATCAAGTGGGATTATGTATTTATATCAATTTTAAAAATATATTACAGCTATCATTTAACCCCAGTATTTTGTCATATCTTCCATTCTGTGGCTTTCTCCTTGATACTTCTTTTCTTTTTCCTTTTTTTTTTTTTTTGAGACAGAGTCTTACTCTGTCACCCAGACTGGAGTGCAGTGGTACAATATCGGCTCACTGCAACCTCCACCTCCCCAGTTCAAGCGATTCTCCTGCCTCAGTCTCCTGAGTAGCTGGGATTACAGGCACACGCCACCATACCCAGATAATTTTTGTATTTTTAGCAGAGACAGGGTTTCACCATGTTGGCCAGGCTGGTCTCAAACTCCTAACCTCAAGTGATCTGCCCGCCTCGGCCTCCCAAAGGGCTGGGATTACAGGCATAAGCCACCATGCCCAGCCGACACTTATTTTCTATGGGCAAACAGCCATATAAATATAACATTCACATACATAAGATAAACAAAAACATGCATCTTATCACTAACACTCTTTTCTTTTTTTGTGGGGGGGGGACGGAGTCTAGCTCGGTTGCCCAGGCTGGAGTGCAGTGGCACAATCTCGGCTCACTGCAACCTCTGCCTCCCAGGTTCAAGCTATTCTCCTGCCTCAGCCTCCAGGGTAGCTGGGATTACAGACGTGTGTCACCACGCCTGGCCAATTTTTTTTTTTTTTTTTTTTTTGTATATTTAGTAGAGACAGGTTTCACCATGTTGGCCAGGCTGGTCTAGAACTCCTGACCTCAGGTAATCTGCCTGCCTTGACCTCTCAATGTGTTGGGATTATAGGCATGAGGCAACACGCCCGGCAAACAATCTTTTTTTTTTATGAGAAGGAGTTTCACTCTTGTTGCCCAGGCTGGAGTGCAATGTCATGATCTTGGCTCATCGCAACCTCCGCCTCCCGGGTTCAAGCATTTCTCCTGCCTCAGTGTCCCGAGTAGCTGGGATTACAGACGTGTGCCACCATGCTTGGCTAATTTTTTTTTTTTTTGTATTTTTAGTAGAGATGGGGTTTCTCCATGTTGGTCAGGCTGGTCTTGAACTCCCAACGTGAGGTGATCTACCCGCCTCGGCCTCCCAAAGTGCTGGGATTACAGGCGTGAGCCACTGCACCCAGCAATCTCCTTTTTTTAACAGTAAAATTTTTATCTCCTCCTTAAACTACTTACTTGAAGGTGTAAGTGCGAAGAGGAAGTCATATTATAGGGGAAGAAAAGAATGTTTAGCATTTTTGAGGCCTCAGAGTGACATAGATACCTCATATGCCATGCAGAGGAATGGTCTTATCAGTAAACAGAGCGTGCTGTGGTGGTGAGTTCTGACCCAGTGTAGATGAACATCCATGGATAGCACAACCCCCAGGCACAGACTCTCAGGCCTGGGAAATGACAACTGAGAAGGTGGAGGGTGGGTGGAAGGCTTGGGAGTATAAATGCAGACACAGGAATAGAAGTGACACAGAAACAGCCAGGCATGGTGGCTCCCAGCACTTTGGGAGGCTGAGGTGGGCAGATGACTTGAGGTCAGGAGTTTGAGACCAGCCTGGCCAACATGGTGAAAACCTGTCTCTACTAAAAATACAAAAATTAGCCGGGTGTGGTGGCAGGTGCCTGTAATCCCAGCTACTGGGGAGGCTGAGGCAGAATTGCTTGAACCCGGGAGGCGGAGGTTGCAGTGAGCCAAGATCACACTACTGCACTCCAGCTTTGATGACAGAGCAAGACTCTGTCTCCAAAAAAAAAAAAAAAAAAATACAGACACACACACGCAAAACAAAACAAAATCAGCCACTGCACTCCAGCCTGGGTGACAGAGTGAGACTTTGTCTCAAAAACTAAACTAAAATAAAATAATCTTGTAAGGCAGTTATTACTATACCCATTTTGTAGGTGAAGAAACTGAGGCTTAGAGTTTACATAACCTGTCAATGGTTTCTCTGCTGGTAAATAAAAAGTCAGGATTCAGACTCATACCTGTCTGATTCTAAGCCTTTGCCCTTCCTAGGGCAATTCTTCCTTATTGAAAACTTGAATACCAATCTCTGGCCTGCAATCTGTAGACAGTGAAACCCTGCTATCATAACAGGTGTGTGACAAGGCAAAAGCTACCGGTGAACATGTGCAAGCAATATCTCTACCTATCAGGGCAATTTTGACAGGAGTTGAAGAAAACAAGCGCCAAAGAAAGGCACTCTGGAACACACTACCTTTTTTTCCTCTATTTTCAATTTTGTTCAACACACTCACTTTATAACCTGTTATCTACATAAGAGGTCCTCAAAATCACCTCTTCTGTACAACCCTTACTAGAATTACTGGGAGAATGGAGTTCTAAAGAAGCACCAAGGAGATGCTGTCCAGATTTTTTTTCTTTTTTAAAATAGAGACAAGGTCTCACTACGTTGCCCAGGCTGGTCTCAAACTCCTGGGCTTAAGCGATCTTTCCAGCTCGGCCTCCCAAACTGCTGGGACTACAGGTGTGAGCCACCACACCCCGCCCAGATTTTCAGCAAGCATTCGAAGAGGACTAATGTATACCAAAGATTTTTCTATTCCCATATGTGAATGATTTAGGGAGCCTTGGATCACTCTGAGGCCCTACAATGCCTAAAAGGAAAGAACTGGCTCTTGGTGCAGTAGATCCAGAACACAGTGTGGCTCTGTGAAAGACACTGACAGCCAGGACACCCATGCTTCACGGATTTCCCATCTGAAGCTGCCACTGGAGAAACTACGCAAATCCCTGTGTGGGTGTCTGAGCTCTCTCACCTTGAACCACACAGTGGGATGTGTGACTGATAGAGGCGGGTCTGCCTTGGCTCTCATCCAAGAAAGAAGGTTTTTTTATATCTAGTAGAAGCAAGTCACTCATTGCTAGATGTTTCAGAAAGCCTTGTTACACAGGTCCACAATCCCACAGCAGAAACTCTTGGGGGTCAGACATGTTTTCAATATGAAAATATGTCAGATTTTAGAAAGGTGTTATGGGGAACATACCATATATTATGCAATACCTCTAGGGAGGTCCAAGGCAACACCCATAATCAAGTATGTTAGTATTTCTCCAGTGAAACATGAACATTCACAGTAAATGGGATAAAGACTAACGTAGACTCATAGCAGCTCCAACAAGGTTCTGTCATCAAGTGATTTCAGATCAAGCTGGGTTTTTCTGTCAAATGACTTGTGAAAAACAAAAATGTCTAGGTTTCAGAGTTTATTAGATTTCTGTAGTGCATGAAAGGACCGTGGACCTGTTATAATGCCTCTTGCTTGTATCTTTAATAAGGTAATAAAAAATAATAGTAGCTAACATTTATTAAGACTTACGGTGCTAAGCCCTATTCCAGGCCTACGCTAAGCCTGTGCACACCACCATCTCATTTAATGCAGGCATTCACAAAACACCTGCTTAGAGTAGGAACTCTTTTTTTTTTTTTTTTTTTGGTAGAGGTGAGGTCTTGTTATGTTGCCTAGGCTGGTCTCAAACTCCTGGCTTCAAGCAATCCTCCTGCCTCGACCTCCCAAAGTGAGTGCTGGGATTACAGGTGTGAGCCACCACACTCAGCCAAGTAGGAACTCTTATTATAACCATTGTGATGATTTATTTTATGTGTCAATTTGCACAGGTTACTGTACCCAGTTATTCAATCAAATACTCACCTAGATATTGCTGTGCATCTACAATCAATTGGCTTTATATAAGGAAATAATCCCAGATAATCTGGGTGGGCCTAATCTCATAATCGAAAGACCTTAACAAGGCTGGGTACAGTGGCTTACGCCTGTAATCCCAGTACTTTGGAAGGCTGAGACGGGTGGATCACGAGGTCAGGAGTCCAAGACTAGCCTGGCCAAGATGGTGAAACCCTGTCTCTACTAAAAATACCAAAAGTAGCTGGGCATGGTGGTGGGCGCCTGTAATCCCAGCTACTCGGGAGGCTGAGGTAGAGAACTGCTTGAACATGGGAGGCGGAGGTTGCAGTGAGCTGAGATCACACCACTGCACTCCAGCCTGGGAAACAGAGCAAGACTCCGTCTCAAAAAAAAAAAAAAAAAAAAAGACCCATGGGCTACAGCATCTGCTCCTGCCTGAGGGCTTCCAGCCTGCCCCTTCTGATAGCCTGCTCTATGTATTTCCAATTTGCCCAGCCAGCCCCCGCTATCGTGTAAACCAATCCTTATGATAAACCATTTATCTATCTATATATAGTTGACCCTTGAACAACACAGGTTTGAACTGCATGGGTCCACTTATATGTGGGTTTTCTTCCACCTCTGCCACCCCTGAGATAGCAACACCAACCACTCCTCTTCCTTCTCAGGATGCAGACCTTTATAATGATCCACTTTCACTTAATAGTAAATATATTTTCTCTTCTTTATGATTTTCTTAGTAACACTTTCTTTTGTCTAGCTTACATTACTGTAAGAATTCAGTATATAATACATTTACAAAATACGTGGTAATCGACTATGTTCTTGGGTCTTGTGGTCAACAGTAGGCTATTAGTAATTAAGTTTTGAGCCAGGCATGGAGGCTCACACGTGTATTCCCAGCACTTTGGGAAACTGAGGTGGAAGAGTTGCTTGAGCCCAGGAGTTTGACACCAGCCTGGGCAACACAGGAAGACCCCATCTCTACAGAAAATTTAAAAAATAGCCAGGTGTGGTGGTGCACACCTGTAATGCCAGTAACTGGGAAGGCTGAGGTAGGAGGACTGCTTGAGCCCAGGAGGAGGCTGTAGTGAGCTGTGTTCCTGCCACTGCACTCCAGGCTTAGCAATAGAGTGAGACCCTGTCTCAAAAAAAAAAAAAAAAAAGGAAAAAAACTGTAGTTTTGGGGGTAGTCAAAAGTTATACATGGCTGGGTGCACACCTGTAATACTAGCGGCTTGGGAGGCTGCGGCAGGAGGATCGCTTGGGCCCAGGATTGCCAGGCTCTAGTGCACCATGACTGCCTGTGAAAAGCCACTCACTCCATTCTGGGCGACACAGCAAGACCCTGCCTCTAAAAGAAAAAAAAGTTATATGCAGACTTTTGACTGCATGGGGGTCAGTACCCCGAACTCCTGTGTTGCTCAAGGATCAACTGTATAGATATAGATATCCAAATGGTTCTGTTCCCTGGTGAAACCTGGACTAATCCAAGTATCTTACGAACAAAGTGGAGACTCAGAGAGGTTTAGTAATTTGCCCCAAATCACACAGCAGAACAGGGACTCAAAACCAGGTATGATCCAATGTATTATACAAATTGTCACACTTCTGAGTGAAAGGGTGTTATTAATAATTATCCCTGGATAACAGGCATAGACCAGAACAATCTAGGTCAAACAACAGCGCAGCACAGCTTGAACCCACTGCACTCAACTGCCTCTCTCGTCCCTCGCTCCCCTCCTCTCTCTGGCTCCTTCCTTCCACCTACAGAGATCCTCAGGCTCCACTCCCAAAACAATTGTTTCCTACCCCTGTTTCCATCTCAAGGTCCTCTCTCTCTCAGTTAAATTTCAATCTATAACATCAACATCAAAAAACCAAGGGTCTTTTCTCAGTCCTCATCTTGCAGTTCTGGCACTCTTGCTGTAACCTCAGTGGTGAACTCTCTCTTTCCTTAGATTCTTGTGCCAGTGGTCCCAAAGATCATCGGGTCAGTTGGAGAGTCCCTAGAAGGAAGATTCCAAGAACCCAGCATATAGTTCTACTCACAGCTGGGAAGGAAAAACACAGAGGGAGAATCTAGGGGAATCTATGTGCAGGTTTCCTATGCTCTCTCCCTCCCATGAGGAAGAGCACACTCTTCCCCCAGCAACAAAACTTGACAGTATGTGCCATTCTTCTGGCAGAACATTCCTCTGCTAGAGATGCCCATTAGACTCAGCACCCAAGGTTTTCACTGGGGGCTGGTCACATGGGGCACCCTCTGCCTAGCATATACAGTGTTCAATACTAACCACACCATCTGTATATACGGCCTAGGCAAGTGAGTCCACCGTTATTGGGTAGGGAAGGGTGAGAAATCCAGACACTAGACAAGTCCCACCCTTGCAAGTAGGCTTTTCTAAGGAGAGCAGGCCTGCCATGTTAATTCTTTTCTGCACGGATGCCTGGACTCTGAACCATCTGGTTCCCTCTGCTACCGGCAAAAAGGCATCCCTTAACATCCTCACATCCCAGCCATGTCTCCCTCCCTCGGTGTCCTCACTGACTCATGGTTCTAAATGGCCCCTTCACAAATGATGCCCAAACTGGCATCACTGACTAAGGGCCAGGTTTCTGATACCCCCATGCAATCCTAGTCCATATAAGGCCAATTAACTCAGGAATTAGCGAGACCAGGCCAGAGGGTTTTGAAAAACATCAGGCCTCTTCCTGCTCTACCACTAACAGGTGGCAGGCCTCAGTTTCCTTATGTGTAAAAGCAGGAGATGGGTTCCTGCCAGCTCTGAAATACTATGGTACTATGACCTCCCCCCAATGCCGTTCCCCCGCTCCACATCTAATATCAGCCCCCTGTTGGTCCTTGTCGTGCGGCTCCAGTCCCAACCAACCCAGGTGGGCAGGTGGTTGTGAGTTTTCTGGACGCCTCTAGACTATTGACGTGTGTGGGTGTGTGTGGGCGGGGGGGTCTCTATTGACGTGTGGCGGGGGGGTTGTGGGGGTCTCTAACCTCCAGTCCACCCTCTGCGCTCACTTCCAGCTTTGGCTGAGCCCCAGGGGTACATGACCTAAAAGTGGGTTTGAGGAGTCCGATGCAGAGGCCTGGGATACAGGGGCAGGAAAAGGAAGTGCAGGCAAAGACTGGCTTATCCCAGGACCTGTCTCAATTCCCACCTAACCCAGGGAGCAGGCTCTGCTTCCCTCCCTCCGTCCCCCGCCACTCCCCACTATGCGTGGGCACAGTAAACGCCTCGGCTGATGCTAACATGAAAACCAAAAAGTTCTGAGGTCTGTACGCAGATCATCAACGAAAAGGCGGCTAGAGGGGAAATCTCCCGGGGACCGAGGGAGAAGTTCAGGGTGGGGTGTGCGGGCAAAGCGGAGCGCTCCGACTGTTGAGGACTCGTCCTCACCCCTCGGCCATCCTTCGGGGCCTAGAGAGAGGAGGCCCCCCGCCGGCCCAGGGCGCCCGCCGCGGGCCGCGCGTCCCCCAGAGCTTCCTGGGCCGCCGGCGCCTCCTGGGTCCCCGCTCGGCTCGCCGCAGATCGGACGCCACCCCGGGTCCCTCGGCCCGCGACACCCCCGCCTACCTCCTCCCCGCCATAGCGGGCCAGCTCCTCCTCGGTGAAAAGCCGCACTGGGGGCCCCCGCTCGGCAGGGCGCGGTGTCTGCCCGGCCCGGGCTGTGGGCAGCCCCGGGGCCAGCGCCAGGACCAGGGCCAGCGCTGCCAGCGGCCGCAGCCGCCGCCGCGGCGCGGGGCCCACCATGGTGAGCGCGCAGCGCAAGGCAAGGCCGGGCCAGGGCGGCGGGGCCCTAGCACGCCCGCCCAGCGTCCCGGAGTCCCGCCCCGCGCCCAGAGCCTCCCCGAGGGCGGGGACCCGAGAACTCCCGCCCTTCGCGCGCCTCCTGCGCCCCGGGGTGGGGCTGGCCGGGCTACTCGGGCCACGCAGCTGGAACCTGGAAATTAGGATTGGAATCCTGAACTCCTAAATCCAAACTACAGACTGGAAGTTACCAAAAAATGTCACAGTGGTTCCTTGATCAGGTAGAAAGATGACAGAGCCCAACATACCAGAACCTAGAAAGGTATATTTCTAAAATAAGACCCCAACTGTCTTAATTCGCTTTTATTTTTGGCTGATTTTTTTTCTTCCTGGTTGTGTTTAAGTTTCTGGTTCCCAAGGAGATTTTTGCAAAGGGTAGGGTGCTGTTACCGATACGCCCTGAAATAATAATAGCTAACATTTGTGCCAAACTTTGCTCATTACTTTATGCAACAAATATTTTTGAGTACCTCCATGTACCAGGTCACTGGGGACTCACCACTGAACAAGACAGATCCACGCCCACGTGAAGCTTACATTGTGTGGGCAGATAGACAATAAGATGCTAAGTAGTATGTTAGATGGTGGTAAATACTAGGGAGAAAAAGTAGGGCAAAGAGATAGGGAGCACTGGGATGGACATTTTATTTTATTTTATTGTTATGTATTTATTTATTTTTGAGACGGAGTCTGTCGCCTACGCTGGAGTGCAGTGGCGCCATCTCGGCCCACTGCAACCTCCACCTTCCGGGTTCAAGTGATTCTCCTGCCTCAGCCACCAGAGTAGTTGGGATTACAGGCACCCACCACCACGCCTGGCTAATTTTTTTTTTTTTTAATTTTTAGTCGAGATGAGGTTTCACTATATGCTGGCCAGGCTGGTCTCGAACTCCTGGCCTCAAGTGAACCATCCACCTCATCCACCCAAAGTGCTGGGATTACAGGTGTGAGGAACGGTGCCCGGTTATGGGGATGGTCATTTTAAATAGGCAGGTTAGGGAAGGCCTCACTGAGAACAGGGTATTTGCATAAAAATCTACAGGAGGCGAAGGAGGCGGTCTAGAGGGAAGAGCACTTTGGTCAAAGGATCAGGTGCATAAATGCGGAGGAATGAGGATGCCCGGCTTGCTGGAGGATCAAGGGAAGGTAAGAGGGGTAGGTGAAGTCAGGAAGGAAGCGGGTAAGGGAGTGGGGGTGGATCTTGGGGGCTTCACAGGTTATTTTCAAGACTGGCTTTTACTTTCAAGACTGGAATAGAGGAATTAACAGAAAAAGGGTCTCATTCCAGACCCAAGAGCAGGTTCTTAGACGTCCACGGCAAAGAATCAGGGCAAGTCGCAGAGCATAGTAGTTAAAATAGTTCATTAGAAACTACTCCATTTCTAATAATAGTACTACTGTGTTTCTGAGTAGTATCCTTGCTTTGAAGTAGTACTAAGCAAGTATTGTTTATATAGGAGCACCTCTGCCTTCAATGTAATGCTTGCTTTTATAGGGCTAAAACTAGCGTACTTCATTACAAAAGCCTATGATCAGCTTGTTACAGACTATTAGTATTGTTATTCTCTTGTGTAACTATTGACTTCAGGGAGAATTTATGGGTGTACTGTTATCTTTAAAGTGAAACTCATTTTTAAACTAAGAATGCCTTTTTCCATTATCTCATTTCCTCAACCATAAACATCTTGTGAAGAGTGCCTATCTTCCTGGGAAAGTCGCCCAGCAGGTTTGGCTTTATCTGACCTTTATTCAAGATGGAATCACTCTGGTTAGGACACTTCTGACATAATTCCCTCCTCCTTTTTACAAGGAGACCTTTAATCCTAAGGGGTGCAGGGGGACAGAGATCCATCTTCAGTAACTTCAAGCTGAACAGAAGCGATGATATTCCTGCCTAACCATTAGGATCCCTTTGCCCAAAGTAGAGAGCTAGCCAGTCAGAAAGCATCTGTATAGTGAGGACCAATCATACATAATTCTAAGTCCCAGAAAAAGGTGAAATCTAGAAAATTAACGTGTTAAATTTAAAGAAGCATTGAATAAGCTTAACTCTTATTCCTACATAAAAAGTACAATGCAGTATATTCCACAGCACAAAACAGAATGAATAGAATTATCCCAAGCATGCTAAACAAAAAAAGTTTCCCAAGGACTAGGCAGTTGTTAGAACCAAGCTGATATGGGGTCAACTGACAGCGTGTCAATGGCAGAGATGTGGGTGTCTAAGTCTTTTGTGGCCTGAGTAACATTATGTGAATAGTCTGGAATGTATGCATAACATTCTGTTTTGATTATAGCATAAGTTCCCCCTTTGAGCTGCTGTTAACATGTCCAGAGCCATAGTTTCATAAGGCTATCTGTCTAATTTGAGATGTTTCTTCAGTCAAGAGGGTAAGGGCATGGCGTGTATTATTGAAAACTGCAGCTGTGTTTAGCTATGGCTTTGGCTTGAAGCTCAATGTCAATTGTGGCTGCCTGTGGGGAGAAGACAGTGTCAGGCCTCTGAGCTGAAGCTCAGCCATTGTAACCCTTGTGACCTGCACCTATAAGTCCAGATGGCCTGCAGGAGCCAAGAAGTCTGGAGCAGCCAAAAAAACACAAAAGAAGTGCAACAAAAGAAGCTCCTGCCTTGACTGATTGACCAGCCTTACGACGTTCCACCATTATGAATTGTTCCTGTCCTGCCCCAACTGATCAATCGACCTTGTGACATTCTTCTTCTGGACAATGAATCTTATGATCTCCCCACCATGGACCCTGTGACCCCCTCCTCTGCTGACAATAGATAACCACCTCTAACTGTAACATTCCACTGCCTACCTCAGTCCTATAAAGCTGCCCCTCTCCTATCTACCTTCGCTGACTCTCTTTTCGTACTCAGCCCACTTGCACCCAAGTGAATAAACAGCCCTGTTGCTCACACAAAGCCTGTTTAGGTGGTCTTCTATACGGACACATGTGACAGATAGCCAATGGGTAAAACAACCAAGAAGACTGCTTTTGTCACTTATGACGAGCTTTTACAGTTTCCCAGTTAGATGGGAGAGATTATAATTTAGTGAGGATACATCCTGGGAGATGAAGATGACCCTATGTACATCTTCCAGTCCAATTATAAGGCACATATGGCCAGCCATGTGACCCACATGCCCATAATCAACCCCAAGGAGAAGTACAAGCACCTAGCCATAAAGACTCATTTTGCCATCCCATCCACGTTTGGCTAGTTACAAGAAGGGTGCAATTATAGTGTTGGGGTAGTAACCATTCCATGTTACAGGTTTCAGTGTAGTAATCACTGCTATTGTCTTTCAAAGCATAGGGGCACTCTGCCTAATACCTGAACTTAGACAGCTGTCATCCATTCATCGTGTACAGTATAACCTTACGTCAGAGTGGAGTTTAATTTTCTGATCAAACAAAAAAGAGGCTTCTTTGTTTCACGGTGGGAAGGGAAAGGGCTGGGCCCTGTGTTTCTGTAGTAGAAGGGAAAAAGGGTGGTCCATTTACCCCAATCATAATAATTTCCCCATATGCTCATAGTGGCTGGCAGGATGTGCCAGGGCAGCCTGAGGTGGAGGAGGCATTAGTTCCGTGCATACTCAGCAATTAGTGTTGTTGTGTAGGGAGGCTAAAGTCTGTGCCCATTTGGCAAAGAGATTGCTTCTTAGCTGGTTCCAATACATGCGCAGAATTAAGATGTTAATCCAAATCTTTAAGTTATTCATCCTTCTTGTTTCTTCTGAGCAGGCGCCAGAGATCAGTGGTTGGTACACAGGGATAAGTGAGATCAGTCTCAGCCTGTGGGACTTCATAAGAAATGGGTTTAATTCGAGATAAATGAACCCAGCTGCTTATTCCTTGAAGTTTAATTGCAGTTTGGGTACTAAGGAGTACTTGGTAGAGTACTTTGTACAAGTACTTTGGGGAAGGTTGATCTAACGGAGACCCTTCCTTCCAAGTTTTTAATAGAACCCAGTTTCCTGGCTGGATTGTAGCATTTTCTTCCTTAGTGGAGGGAGGAAGTCTCTGATTTCCATATTCAAGAAGAGCTTTTTGCACCCGACCTAAGTTAATAACGTAGTTCTGTAATTTGAAAGTATCTATATCTACTAGGAAATCTGCAGTTAAGAAAGGACTTCCATACATTATTTCGAAAGAGCTGAGCTGCAAGTTTCCCTTAGGGGCAGCCAAAACTAGCAACAAGGCCACAGGCAATAGAGACGAATAGGTTTCTGATGTTTCCTGGCATAACTTGGCAAGAGTCCTCTTTGAAGTTTGGCCCTTTCTACTTTTCCTGCAAACTGTGGCCTCCATGCTGAATAAAGATGATACTGAATTCCTAGAGCCGGTGATATATTTTGGGTTCTTGTTGCTGTGAAAAATGAGCCATTCTGTAAGCTTTTAGGCAGCCCAAACTTAGGGATTATTTCCTTTAATAAAAATTTAGAAATGTCAGTTGCCTTTTCAGACCAGGTAGGAAAAGCTTCAATCCAACAAGTAAAGGTATCGATGAATACTAATAAATATTTGAATCCTTCCCATGGGGGTATTTGAGTGTAGTCTATTTGCCAATCTTCACCTGGGTGTGTTCCCCTGTGCTGAACAGGCTTTACTAAAGGAGGAGGTAAAGGTACTTAGGGATTATTTCCTTTCATAAAAATTTAGAAATGTCAGTTGCCTTTTCAGACCAGGTAGGAAAAGCTTCAATCCAACAAGTAAAGGTATCAATGAATACTAATAAATATTTGAATCCTTTCCATGGGGGTATTTGAGTGTAGTCTATTTGCCAGTCTTCACCTGGGTATGTTCCCCTGTGCTGAACAGGATTTACTAAAGGAGGAGGTAAAGTTTGATTATTTGGGTTATTTTGGACACATAGTTCACAGGCCCAAGTCCCTTGTTTTGCTGTTTTAAGAAGGTTTTTTCCTATAAAAAGACAAGTCATCAGTTGAAATAGGGAATCTCTTCTCAAATGAGTGGAATCATGCACATGTTTAACTACTTTGCATTGATCAGCCTTTGGTACATATAGCTTGCCATTTTCATCAATTAGCCATCTGGAAGGGTTTAAAGTTAATCCATGGGTTTTAGCTCATTCCTGTTCTCCTTTAGTATACTCTGGCTTTGTCATCACCAGGGCAGTGGGTACCAACATGCCCACAAAGTTGACTGGCTCCCTTAATGCAGCTGCCTTAGGTATAGCACCTGCAAAAGAATTTCCTTTTATTATAGTGGAGTCTCCTTTCTGATGCCCCCTGCAGTGACTCACAGCAACTTCCTTTGATAGCAGGACAGCATCTAGTAGATTTAAAATTTCTGAGTGGTATTTTATACAGGAACCCTTAGCAGCAGTTAGGAATCTCTGTTCCTTCCAAATGATAACATGAGCATGAAGACCAGAAAGGCATACTTGGAGTCAGTGTAAATATTCATTCTTAAATCATTTCCCAATTGAAGGGCTATGGTAGGAGCCATTAACTGCTTTTTTTTTTTTTTTTTTTTTTTTTTTTTTTTAGAGAGAGCGAGATGGGGTCTTGCTCTGTCACCCAGGCTGGAGTACAATGGTGCAATCTTGGCTCACTGCAACCTCCGTCTCCTGGGTTCAAGTGATTCCTCAGCCTCCCGAATAGCTGAGATTACAGGTGCCCACCACCATGCCCAGCTAATTTTTGTATTTTTAGTAGAGACGGGGTTTCGTCCTATTGGTCGGGCTGGTCTCAAACTCCTGACCTCAGGTGATTCACTCGCCTCGGCCTCCCAAAGTGCTGGGATTACAGGTGTGAGCCACCACACCCAGCCCATTAACTCCTTTTTGAGCTGAGCTAGAAGCTGTTAGAGCCAGAGCCTGGGCTTCGATTACCTCATGCTGACT